>NC_000004.12:50312061-50475169 GCF_000001405.40 Homo sapiens
GCTTTGAAGATTTCGTTGGAAACGGGAATTTCTTCATATAAAATCAAACAGAAGCATTCTCAGAAACTTCTCTGTGATGTTTGCATTCAGCTCATGGAGTTGAACACTTCCTTTCATAGAGCAGGTATGAAACACTCTTTCTGCACTACCAGGAAGTGGACATTTCGAGCGCTTTGAGGCCTATGGTGAAAAAGGAAATATCTTCTCATAAAAACCAGAAAGAAGCGTTCTCAGAAACTTCTTTGTGTTGTGTGTACTCATGTAACAGTGTTGAACCATCCTTTTGACAGAGCAGTTTTGAAACACTCTTTTTGTAGAATCTGCAAGTGGATATTTGGATAGCTTTGAGGATTTCGTTGGAAACGGGTTATCTTCATATTAAATCTAGACAGAAGCATTCTCAGAAACTTCTTTGTGCTGTATGTCCTCAATTCACAGAGTTGAACCTTTGTTTGGATACAGCATTTTGGAAACATTCCTTTAGTAGAATCTGCAAGTTGATATTTAGATAGCTTTGAAGATTTCGTTGGAAACGGGAATATCTTCATAAAAAATCTAGACGGAAGCATTGTCAGAAACTGCTTTGTGATGTTTGCATTCAAGTCACAGAGTTAAATAATCTTTTACAGAGCAGGTTCGAAACACTCTTTCTGCACTCCCTGGAAGTGGAGATTTCGAGCGCTTTGAGGCCTATGGTGAAAAAGGAAATATCTTCCCATAAAAACTAGATGGAAGCCTTCTCAGAAACTTGTTTGAGATGTGTGTATTCAACTAAGAGCGTTGAAAATTTCTTTTTACAGAGCAGTTTTAAAACACTCTTTTTGTGGAATCTGAAAGTGGATAATTGGATAGCTTTGTGGATTTCATTGGAAACGGGATGACGTATAAAATCTAGAGAGAAGCATTCTCAGGAACTTCTTTCTGATGTTTGCATTCAAGTCACAGAATTGAACATTCCTTTTCATAGTGCAGGTTTGAAACACTCTTCCTGTAGTATCTGGAAGTGGACATTTCAAGCGCTTTCAGGCCTATGGGGAGAAAGGAAAGATCTTCAAATAAAAACTAGACAGAAGGATTCTCAGAAACTTATTGGTGATGTGTGTCCTCAACGAACACAGTTGAACCTTTGTTTTGATACAGCATTTTGGAAACACTCCCTTTGTAGAATCTGCAGGTGGATATGTGGATAGATTTTAAGATTTCGTTGGAAACGGGAATTTCTTCATATAAACTCAAGACAGATGCATTCTCAGAAACTTCTCTGTGATGTTTGCATTCCACTCATAGAGTTGAAAACTTCCTTTCATAGAGCAGGTTTGAAACACTCTTTTTGTAATATTTGGAAGTGGACATTTGCAGCGCTTTGAGGCCTATGGTGAAAAAGGAAATATCTTCTCATAAAAACCAGAAACAAGCATTCTCAGAAACTTCTTTTTGATGTGTGTACTCAAGTAACAGAGTTGAACCTTCCTCTTGACACAGCAGTTTCGAAACAATCTTTTTGTAGAATCTGCAAGTGGATATTTGGATAGCTTTGAGGATTTCGTTGGAAACGGGATATCTTCATATAAAATCTAGACAGAAGCATTCTCAGAAACTTCTTTGTGCTGTATGTCCTCAATTAACAGAGTTGAACCATTGCCTGGATACAGCATTTTGGAAACATTCCTTGAGTAGAATCTGCAAGTTGATATTTAGATAGATTTGAAGATTTCGTTGGAAAAGGGAATATCTCCATATAAAATCTAGAGGGAAGCATTCTCAGAAACTGCTTTGTGATGTTTCCATTCAAGTCACAGAGTTGAATATTCCCTTTTATAGAGCACGTTTGAAACACTCTTTCTGCACTATCTGGAAGCGGACATTTCGAGCGCTTTGAGGCCTATGGTGAAAAAGGAAATATCTTCCCATAAAAACTAGACAGAAGCATTCTCAGAAACTTGTTTGTGATGTGTGTATTCAACTAACAGAGTTGAACTTTTGTTTTTACAGAGCCGTTTTAAAACACTCTTTTTGTGGAATCAGAAAGTGGATATTCGGATGGCTCTGAGGATTTCGTTGGAAGCGGGATTACGTATAAAATCTAGAGAGAAGCATTCTCAGGAACTTCTTTGTGATGTTTGCATTCAAGTCACAGAATTGAACATTCCCTTTCATAGAGCAGGTTTGAAACACTCTTTCTCTAGTATCTGGAAGTGGGCATTTCAAGCGCTTTCAGGCCTATGGAGAGAAAGGAAATACCTTCAAATAAAAACTAGACAGAAGCATTCTCAGAAACTTATTTGTGATGTGTGTCCTCAACTAACAGAGTTGAACCTTTGTTTTGATACAGCATTTTGGAAACACTCCTTTTGTAGAATCTGCAGGTGGATATTTGGATAGCTTTGAAGATTTCGTTGGAAACCGGAATATCTTCATATAAAATCAAGACAGAAGCATTCTCGGAAACATCTCTGTGATGTTTGCATTCAACTCAGTAGAGTTGAACACTTCCTTTCATAGAGCAGGTTTGAAACACTCTTTCTGCACTACCTGGAAGCGGACATTTCGAGCGCTTTGAGGCCTATGGTGATAAAGGAAATATCTTCTCATAAAAACCAGAAAGAAGCATTCTCAGAAACTTCTTTGTGTTGTGTGTACTCAAGTAACAGTGTTGAACCTTCCTTTTGACAGAGCAGTTTTGAAACACTCTTTTGGTAGAATCTGCAAGTGGATATTTGGATAGCTTTGAGGATTTCGTTGGAAACGGGTTATCTTCCTATAAAATCCAGACAGGAGCATTCTCAGAAACTTCTTTGTGCTGTATGTCCTCAATTCACAGAGCTGAACCTTTGTTTGGATACAGCATTTTGGAGACATTCCTTTAGTAGAATCTGCAAGTTGATATTTAGATAGCTTTGAAGATTTCGTTGGAAACGGGAATATCTTCATAGAAAATCTAGACGGAAGCATTCTCAGAAACTGCTTTGTGATGTTTGCATTCAAGTCACAGAGTTGAATATTCCCTTTTATACAGTAGGTTTGAAACACTCTTTCGGCACTACCTGGAAGTGGATATTTCGAGCTCTTTGAGGCCTATGGTTAAAAGGAAATATCTTCCCATAAAAACTAGACAGAAGCCGTCTCAGAAACTTGTTTGTGATGTGTGTATTCAACTAACAGAGTTGAACATTTCTGTTACAGAGCAATTTTAAAACACTCTTTTTGTGGAATCTGAAAGTGGATAATTGGATAGCTTTGTGGATTTCGTTGGAAACGGGATGACGTATAAAATCTAGAGAGAAGCATTCTCAGGAACTTCTTTCTGATGTTTGCATTCAAGTCACAGTAATTGAACATTCCTTTTCAGAGTGCAGGTTTGAAACACTCTTTCTGTAGTATCTGGAAGTGGACATTTCAAGCGCTTTCAGGCCTACGGGGAGAAAGGAAATATCTTCAAATAAAAACTAGACAGAAGGATTCTCAGAAACTTATTTGTGATGTGTGTCCTAAACGAACACAGTTGAACCTTTGTTTTGATACAGCATTTTGGAAACACTCCTTTTGTAGGATCTGCAGGTGGATATTTGGATAGATTTTAAGATTTCGTTGGAAACGGGAATTTCTGCATATAAACTCAAGACAGATGCATTCTCAGAAACTTCTCTGTGATGTTTGCATTCCACTCATAGAGTTGAAAACTTCCTTTCATAGAGCAGGTTTGAAACACTCTTTTTGTAATATTTGGAAGTGGACATTTGCAGCACTGTGAGGCCTATGGTGAAAAAGGAAATATCTTCTCATAAAAACCAGAAACAAGCATTCTCAGAAACTTCTTTTTGATGTGTGTACTCAAGTAACAGAGTTGAACCTTCCTTTTGACACAGCAGTTTTGAAACAATCTTTTTGTAGAATCTGCAAGTGGATATTTGGATAGCTTTGAGGATTTCGTTGGAAACGGGATATCTTCATATAAAATCTAGACAGAAGCATTCTCAGAAACTTCTTTGTGCTGTATGTCCTCAATTAACAGAGTTGAACCATTGCTTGGATACAGCGTTTTGGAAACATTCCTTTAGTAGAATCTGCAAGTTGATATTTAGATAGATTTGAAGATTTCGTTGGAAACGGGAATATCTTCATATAAAATCTAGACGGAGGCATTCTCAGAAACTGCTTTGTGATGTTTCCATTCAAGTCACAGAGTTGAATATTCTCTTTTATAGAGCACGTTTGAAACACTCTTTCTGCACTATCTGGAAGTGGACATTTCGAGCGCTGTGAGGCCTATGGTGAAAAAGGAAATATCTTCCCATAAAAACTAGACAGAAGCATTCTCAGAAACTTGTTTATGATGTGTGTATTCAACTAACAGACTTGAACTTTTGTTTTTACAGAGCAGTTTTAAGACAATCTTTTTGTGGAATCAGAAAGTGGATATTCGGATGGCTTTGAGGACTTCGTTGGAAGCGGGATTACATATAAAATCTAGAGAGAAGCATTCTCAGGAACTACTTTGTGACGTTTGCATTGAAGTCACAGAATTGAACATTCACTTTGATAGAGCAGGTTTGAAACACTCATTCTGTAGTATCTGGAAGCGGACAATTCAAGCGCTTTCAGGCCTATGGGGAGAAAGGAAATATCTTCAAATAAAAACTAGAGAGAAGCATCCTCAAACTTATTTGTGATGTGTGTCCTCAACTAACAGAGTTGAACCTTTGTTTTGATACAGCATTTTGGAAACACTCTTTTTGTAGAATCTGCAGGTGGATATTTGGATAGCTTAGAGGGATTCGTTGGAAAGGGGATATCTTCATATAAAATCTAGACAGAAGCATTCTCAGAAACTTATTTGTGATGTGTGTCCTCAACTAACAGAGTTGAACCTTGGTTTTGATACAGCATTTTGGAAACACTCCTTTTGTAGAATCTGCAGGTGGATATGTGGATAGCTTTGAAGATTTCGTTGGAAACGGGAATTTCTTCATGTAAAATCAAACAGAAGCATTCTCAGAAACTTCTCTGTGATGTTTGCATTCAGCTCATGGAGTTGAACACTTCCTTTCATAGAGCAGGTTTGAAACACTCTTTCTGCACTACCTGGAAGCGGACATTTCGAGCGCTTTGAGGCCTATGGTGAAAAAGGAAATATCTTCTCATAAAAACCAGAAAGAAGCATTCTCAGAAACTTCTTTGTGTTGTGTGTACTCAAGTAACAGTGTTGAACCTTCCTTTTGACAGAGCAGGTTTGAAACACTCTTTTGGTAGAATCTGCAAGTGGATATTTGGATAGCTTTGAGGATTTCGTTGGAAACGGGTTATCTTCATATAAAATCCAGACAGGAGCATTCACAGAAACTTCTTTGTGCTGTATGTCCTCAATTCACAGAGCTGAACCTTTGTTTGGATACAGCATTGTGGAAACATTCCTTTAGTAGAATCTGCAAGTTGATATTTAGATAGCTTTGAAGATTTCATTGGAAACGGGAATATCTTCATAGAAAATCTAGACGGAAGCATTCTCATAAACTGCTTTGTGATGTTTGCATTCAAGTCACAGAGTTGAATATTCCCTTTTATAGAGTAGGTTTGAAACACTCTTTCGGCACTACCTGGAAGTGGATATTTCGAGCTCTTTGAGGCCTATGCTTAAAAGGAAATATCTTCCCATAAAAACTAGACAGAAGCCGTCTCAGAAACTTGTTTGTGATGTGTGTATTCAACTAACAGAGTTGAACATTTCTGTTACAGAGCAATTTTAAAACACTCTTTCTGTGAAATCTGAAAGTGGATAATTGGATAGCTTTGTGGATTTCGTTGGAAACGGGATGACGTATAAAATCTAGAGAGAAGCATTCTCAGGAACTTCTTTCTGATGTTTGCATTCAAGTCACAGAATTGAACATTCCTTTTCAGAGTGCAGGTTTGAAACACTCTTTCTGTAGTATCTGGAAGTGGACATTTCAAGCGCTTTCAGGCCTACGGGGAGAAAGGAAATATCTTCAAATAAAAACTAGACAGAAGGATTCTCAGAAACTTATTTGTGATGTGTGTCCTAAACGAACACAGTTGAACCTTTGTTTTGATACAGCATTTTGGAAACACTCCTTTTGTAGGATCTGCAGGTGGATATTTGGATAGATTTTAAGATTTCGTTGGAAACGGGAATTTCTGCATAGAAACTCAAGACAGATGCATTCTCAGAAACTTCTCTGTGATGTTTGCATTCCACTCATAGAGTTGAAAACTTCCTTTCATAGAGCAGGTTTGAAACACTCTTTTTGTAATATTTGGAAGTGGACATTTGCAGCGCTTTGAGGCCTATGGTGAAAAAGGAAATATCTTCTCATAAAAACCAGAAACAAGCATTCTCAGAAACTTCTTTTTGATGTGTGTACTCAAGTAACAGAGTTGAACCTTCCTTTTGACACAGCAGTTTTGAAACAATCTTTTTGTAGAATCTGCAAGTGGATATTTGGATAGCTTTGAGGATTTCGTTGGAAACGGGATATCTTCATATAAAATCTAGACAGAAGCATTCTCAGAAACTTCTTTGTGCTGTATGACCTCAATTAACAGAGTTGAACCATTGCTTGCATACAGCATTTTGGAAACATTCCTTGAGTAGAATCTGCAAGTTGATATTTAGATAGATTTGAAGATTTCGTTCGAAAACGGAATATCTCCATATAAAATACTAGAGGGAAGCATTCTCAGAAACTGCTTTGTGATGTTTGCATTCAAGTCACAGAGTTGAATATTCCCTTTTATAGAGCAGGTTTGAAACACTCTTTCCGGACTTCCTGGAAGTGGACATTTCGAGCGTTTTGAGGCCTATGGTGAAAAAGGAAATATCTTCCCATAAAAACTAGACGGAAGCATTCTCAGAAACTAGTTTGTGATGTGTGTATTCAACTAACAGACTTGAACTTTTGTTTTTACACGGCAGTTTTAAGACAATCCTTTTGTGGAATCAGAAAGTGGATATTCGGATGGCTTTGAGGATTTCGTTGGAAGCGGGATTACATATAAAATCTAGAGAGAAGCATTCTCAGGAACTTCTTTGTGATGTTTGCATTGAAGTCACGGAATTGAACATTCACTTTTATAGAGCAGGTTTGAAACACTCATTCTGTAGTATCTGGAAGTGGACATTTCAAGCGCTTTCAGGCCTATGGTGAGAAAGGAAATATCTTCGAATAAAAACTAGACAGAAGCATCCTCAGAAACTTATTTGTGATGTGTGTCCTCAACTAACAGAGTTGAAACTTTGTTTTGATACAGCATTTTGGAAACACTCTTTTTGTAGAATCTGCAGGTGGATATTTGGATAGCTTAGAGGGATTCGTTGGAAAGGGGATATCTTCATATAAAATCTAGACAGAAGCATTCTCAGAAACTTATTTGTGATGTGTGTCCTCAACTAACAGAGTTGAACCTTGGTTTTGATACAGCATTTTGGAAACACTCCTTTTGTAGAATCTGCAGGTGGATATGTGCATAGCTCTGAAGATTTCGTTGGAAACGGGAATTTCTTCATATAAAATCAAACAGAAGCATTCTCAGAAACTTCTCAGTGATGTTTGCATTCAGTTCATGGAGTTGAACACTTCCTTTCATAGAGCCGGTTTGAAACACTCTTTCTGCACTACCTGGAAGAGGACATTTCGAGCGCTTTGAGTCCTATGGTGAAAAAGGAAATATCTTCTCATAGAAACCAGAAAGAAGCATTCTCAGAAACTTCTTTGTGTTGTGTGTACTCATGTAACAGTGTTGAACCATCCTTTTGACAGAGCAGTTTTGAAACACTCTTTTTGTAGAATCTGCAAGTGGATATTTGGATAGCTTTGAGGATTTCGTTGGAAACGGGATGACATATAATATCTAGAGAGAAGCATTCTCAGGAACTTCTTTGTGATGTTTGCATTCAAGTCACAGAATTGAACATTCCCTTTCATAGAGCAGGTTTGAAACACTCTTTCTCTAGTATCTGGAAGTGGGCATTTCAAGAGCTTTCAGGCCTATGGAGAGAAAGGAAATACCTTCAAATAAAAACTAGACAGAAGCATTCTCAGAAACTTATTTGTGATGTGTGTCCTCAACTAACAGAGTTGAACCATTGTTTTGATACAGCATTTTGGAAACACTCCTTTTGTAGAATCTGCAGGTGGATATTTGGATAGCTTTGAAGATTTCGTTGGAAACCGGAATATCTTCCTATAAAATCAAGACAGAAGCATTCTCGGAAACATGTCTGTGATGTTTGCATTCAACTCAGTAGAGTTGAACACTTCCTTTCATAGAGCAGGTTTGAAACACTCTTTCTGCACTACCTGGAAGCGGACATTTCGAGCGCTTTGAGGCCTATGGTGAAAAAGGAAATATCTTCTCATAAAAACCAGAAAGAAGCATTCTCAGAAACTTCTTTGTGTTGTGTGTACTCAAGTAACAGTGTTGAACCTTCCTTTTGACAGAGTAGTTTTGAAACACTCTTTTGGTAGAATCTGCAAGTGGATATTTGGATAGCTTTGAGGATTTCGTTGGAAACGGGTTATCTTCCTATAAAATCCAGACAGGAGCATTCTCAGAAACTTCTTTGTGCTGTATGTCCTCAATTCACAGAGCTGAACCTTTGTTTGGATACAGCATTTTGGAGACATTCCTTTAGTAGAATCTGCAAGTTGATATTTAGATAGCTTTGAAGATTTCGTTGGAAACGGGAATATCTTCATAGAAAATCTAGACGGAAGCATTCTCAGAAACTGCTTTGTGATGTTTGCATTCAAGTCACAGAGTTGAATATTCCCTTTTATAGAGTAGGTTTGAAACACTCTTTCGGCACTACCTGGAAGTGGATATTTCGAGCTCTTTGAGGCCTATGGTTAAAAGGAAATATCTTCCCATAAAAACTAGACAGAAGCCGTCTCAGAAACTTGTTTGTGATGTGTGTATTCAACTACCAGAGTTGAACATTTCTGTTACAGAGCAATTTTAAAACACTCTTTCTGTGGAATCTGAAAGTGGATAATTGGATAGCTTTGTGGATTTCGTTGGAAACGGGATGACGTATAAAATCTAGAGAGAAGCATTCTCAGGAACTTCTTTCTGATGTTTGCATTCAAGTCACAGAATTGAACATTCCTTTTCAGAGTGCAGGTTTGAAACACTCTTTCTGTAGTATCTGGAAGTGGACATTTCAAGCGCTTTCAGGCCTACGGGGAGAAAGGAAATATCTTCAAATAAAAACTAGACAGAAGGATTCTCAGAAACTTATTTGTGATGTGTGTCCTAAACGAACACAGTTGAACCTTTGTTTTGATACAGCATTTTGGAAACACTCCTTTTGTAGGATCTGCAGGTGGATATTTGGATAGATTTTAAGATTTCGTTGGAAACGGGAATTTCTGCATAGAAACTCAAGACAGATGCATTCTCAGAAACTTCTCTGTGATGTTTGCATTCCACTCATAGAGTTGAAAACTTCCTTTCATAGAGCAGGTTTGAAACACTCTTTTTGTAATATTTGGAAGTGGACATTTGCAGCGCTTTGAGGCCTATGGTGAAAAAGGAAATATCTTCTCATAAAAACCAGAAACAAGCATTCTCAGAAACTTCTTTTTGATGTGTGTACTCAAGTAACAGAGTTGAACCTTCCTTTTGACACAGCAGTTTTGAAACAATCTTTTTGTAGAATCTGCAAGTGGATATTTGGATAGCTTTGAGGATTTCGTTGGAAACGGGATATCTTCATATAAAATCTAGACAGAAGCATTCTCAGAAACTTCTTTGTGCTGTATGTCCTCAATTAACAGAGTTGAACCATTGCCTGGATACAGCATTTTGGAAACATTCCTTGAGTAGAATCTGCAAGTTGATATTTAGATAGATTTGAAGATTTCGTTGGAAAAGGGAATATCTCCATATAAAATCTAGAGGGAAGCATTCTCAGAAACTGCTTTGTGATGTTTCCATTCAAGTCACAGAGTTGAATATTCCCTTTTATAGAGCACGTTTGAAACACTCTTTCTGCACTATCTGGAAGCGGACATTTCGAGCGCTTTGAGGCCTATGGTGAAAAAGGAAATATCTTCCCATAAAAACTAGACAGAAGCATTCTCAGAAACTTGTTTGTGATGTGTGTATTCAACTAACAGAGTTGAACTTTTGTTTTTACAGAGCCGTTTTAAAACACTCTTTTTGTGGAATCAGAAAGTGGATATTCGGATGGCTCTGAGGATTTCGTTGGAAGCGGGATTACGTATAAAATCTAGAGACAAGCATTCTCAGGAACTTCTTTGTGATGTTTGCATTGAAGTCACAGAATTGAACATTCACTTTGATAGAGCAGGTTTGAAACACTCATTCTGTAGTATCTGGAAGTGGACATTTCAAGCGCTTTCAGGCCTATGGTGAGAAAGGAAATATCTTCGAATAAAAACTAGACAGAAGCATCCTCAAACTTATTTGTGATGTGTGTCCTCAACTAACAGAGTTGAAACTTTGTTTTGATACAGCATTTTGGAAACACTCTTTTTGTAGAATCTGCAGGTGGATATTTGGATAGCTTAGAGGGATTCGTTGGAAAGGGGATATCTTCATATAGAATCTAGACAGAAGCATTCTCAGAAACTTATTTGTGATGTGTGTCCTCAACTAACAGAGTTGAACTTTGGTTTTGATACAGCATTTTGGAAACACTCCTTTTGTAGAATCTGCAGGTGGATATGTGGATAGCTCTGAAGATTTCGTTGGAAACGGGAATTTCTTCATATAAAATCAAACAGAAGCATTCTCAGAAACTTCTCAGTGATGTTTGCATTCAGTTCATGGAGTTGAACACTTCCTTTCATAGAGCCGGTTTGAAACACTCTTTCTGCACTACCTGGAAGAGGACATTTCGAGCGCTTTGAGTCCTATGGTGAAAAAGGAAATATCTTCTCATAGAAACCAGAAAGAAGCATTCTCAGAAACTTCTTTGTGTTGTGTGTACTCATGTAACAGTGTTGAACCATCCTTTTGACAGAGCAGTTTTGAAACACTCTTTTTGTAGAATCTGCAAGTGGATATTTGGATAGCTTTGAGGATTTCGTTGGAAACGGGATGACATATAATATCTAGAGAGAAGCATTCTCAGGAACTTCTTTGTGATGTTTGCATTCAAGTCACAGAATTGAACATTCCCTTTCATAGAGCAGGTTTGAAACACTCTTTCTCTAGTATCTGGAAGTGGGCATTTCAAGCGCTTTCAGGCCTATGGAGAGAAAGGAAATACCTTCAAATAAAAACTAGACAGAAGCATTCTCAGAAACTTATTTGTGATGTGTGTCCTCAACTAACAGAGTTGAACCTTTGTTTTGATACAGCATTTTGGAAACACTCCTTTTGTAGAATCTGCAGGTGGATATTTGGATAGCTTTGAAGATTTCGTTGGAAACCGGAATATCTTCATATAAAATCAAGACAGAAGCATTCTCGGAAACATCTCTGTGATGTTTGCATTCAACTCAGTAGAGTTGAACACTTCCTTTCATAGAGCAGGTTTGAAACACTCTTTCTGCACTACCTGGAAGCGGACATTTCGAGCGCTTTGAGGCCTATGGTGAAAAAGGAAATATCTTCTCATAAAAACCAGAAAGAAGCATTCTCAGAAACTTCTTTGTGTTGTGTGTACTCAAGTAACAGTGTTGAACCTTCCTTTTGACAGAGTAGTTTTGAAACACTCTTTTGGTAGAATCTGCAAGTGGATATTTGGATAGCTTTGAGGATTTCGTTGGAAACGGGTTATCTTCCTATAAAATCCAGACTAGGAGCAGCATTCACAGAAACTTCTTTGTGCTGTATGTCCTCAATTCACAGAGCTGAACCTTTGTTTGGATACAGCATTTTGGAAACATTCCTTTAGTAGAATCTGCAAGTTGATATTTAGAAAGCTTTGAAGATTTCATTGGTAACGGGAATATCTTCATAGAAAATCTAGACGGAAGCATTCTCATAAACTGCTTTGTGATGTTTGCATTCAAGTCACAGAGTTGAATATTCCCTTTTATAGAGTAGGTTTGAAACACTCTTTCGGCACTACCTGGAAGTGGATATTTCGAGCTCTTTGAGGCCTATGCTTAAAAGGAAATATCTTCCCATAAAAACTAGACAGAAGCCGTCTCAGAAACTTGTTTGTGATGTGTGTATTCAACTAACAGAGTTGAACATTTCTGTTACAGAGCAATTTTAAAACACTCTTTCTGTGAAATCTGAAAGTGGATAACTGGATAGCTTTGTGGATTTCGTTGGAAACGGGATGACGTATAAAATCTAGAGAGAAGCATTCTCAGGAACTTCTTTCTGATGTTTGCATTCAAGTCACAGAATTGAACATTCCTTTTCATAGTGCAGGTTTGAAACGCTCTTTCTGTAGTATCTGGAAGTGGACATTTCAAGCGCTTTCAGGCCTATGGGGAGAAAGGAAATATCTTCAAATAAAAACTAGACAGAAGGATTCTCAGAAACTTATTGGTGATGTGTGTCCTAAACGAACACAGTTGAACCTTTGTTTTGATACAGCCTTTTGGAAACACTCCTTTTGTAGAATCTGCAGGTGGATATTTGGATAGATTTTAAGATTTCGTTGGAAACGGGAATGTCTTCATATAAACTCAAGACAGATGCATTCTCAGAAACTTCTCTGTGATGTTTGCATTCCACTCATAGAGTTGAAAACTTCCTTTCATAGAGCAGGTTTGAAACACTCTTTTTGTAATATTTGGAAGTGGACATTTGCAGCGCTTTGAGGCCTATGGTGAAAAAGGAAATATCTTCTCATAAAAACCAGAAACAAGCATTCTCAGAAACTTCTTTTTGATGTGTGTACTCAAGTAACAGAGTTGAACCTTCCTTTTGACACAGCAGTTTTGAAACAATCTTTTTGTAGAATCTGCAAGTGGATATTTAGATAGCTTTGAGGATTTCGTTGGAAACGGGATATCTTCATATAAAATCTAGACAGAAGCATTCTCAGAAACTTCTTTGTGCTGTATGTCCTCAATTAACAGAGTTGAACCATTGCTTGGATACAGCATTTTGGAAACATTCCTTTAGTAGAATCTGCAAGTTGATATTTAGATAGATTTGAAGATTTCGTTGGAAAAGGGAATATCTTCATAGAAAATCTAGACGGAAGCATTCTCAGAAACTGCTTTGTGATGTTTCCATTCAAGTCACAGAGTTGAATATGCCCTTTTATAGAGCACGTTTGAAACACTCTTTCTGCACTATCTGGAAGTGGACATTTCGAGCGCTTTGAGGTCTATGGTGAAAAAGGAAATATCTTCCCATAAAAACTAGACAGAAGCATTCTCAGAAATTTGTTTGTGATGTGTGTATTCAACTAACAGACTTGAACTTTTGTTTTTACAGAGCCGTTTTAAAACACCTTTTTTGTGGAATCAGAAAGTGGATATTCGGATGGCTCTGAGGATTTCGTTGGAAGCGGGATTACATATAAAATCTAGAGAGAAGCATTCTCAGGAACTTCTTTGTGATGTTTGCATTGAAGTCACAGAATTGAACATTCACTTTGATAGAGCAGGTTTGAAACACTCATTCTGTAGTATCTGGATGTGGACATTTCAAGCGCTTTCAGGCCTATGGTGAGAAAGGAAATATCTTCGAATAAAAACTAGACAGAAGCATCCTCAGAAACTTATTTGTGATGTGTGTCCTCAACTAACAGAGTTGAAACTTTGTTTTGATACAGCATTTTGGAAACACTCTTTTTGTAGAATCTGCAGGTGGATATTTGGATAGCTTAGAGGGATTCTTTGGAAAGGGGATATCTTCATATAAAATCTAGACAGAAGCATTCTCAGAAACTTATTTGTGATGTGTGTCCTCAACTAACAGAGTTGAACCTTGGTTTTGATACAGCATTTTGGAAACACTCCTTTTGTAGAATCTGCAGGTGGATATGTGGATAGCTCTAAAGATTTCGTTGGAAACGGGAATTTCTTCATATAAAATCAAACAGAAGCATTCTCAGAAACTTCTCAGTGATGTTTGCATTCAGTTCATGGAGTTGAACACTTCCTTTCATAGAGCCGGTTTGAAACACTCTTTCTGCACTACCTGGAAGAGGACATTTCGAGCGCTTTGAGTCCTATGGTGAATAAGGAAATATCTTCTCATAGAAACCAGAAAGAAGCATTCTCAGAAACTTCTTTGTGTTGTGTGTACTCATGTAGCAGTGTTGAACCATCCTTTTGACAGAGCAGTTTTGAAACACTCTTTTTGTAGAATCTGCAAGTGGATATTTGGATAGCTTTGAGGATTTCGTTGGAAACGGGATGACATATAATATCTAGAGAGAAGCATTCTCAGGAACTTCTTTGTGATGTTTGCATTCAAGTCACAGAATTGAACATTCCCTTTCATAGAGCAGGTTTGAAACACTCTTTCTCAAGTATCTGGAAGTGGGCATTTCAAGCGCTTTCAGGCCTATGGAGAGAAAGGAAATACCTTCAAATAAAAACTAGACAGAAGCATTCTCAGAAACTTACTTGTGATGTGTGTCCTCAACTAACAGAGTTGAACCTTTGTTTTGATACAGCATTTTGGAAACACTCCTTTTGTAGAATCTGCAGGTGGATATTTGGATAGCTTTGAAGATTTCGTTGGAAACCGGAATATCTTCATATAAAATCAAGACAGAAGCATTCTCGGAAACATCTCTGTGATGTTTGCATTCAACTCAGTAGAGTTGAACACTTCCTTTCATAGAGCAGGTTTGAAACACTCTTTCTGCACTACCTGGAAGCGGACATTTCGAGCGCTTTGAGGCCTATGGTGAAAAAGGAAATATCTTCTCATAAAAACCAGAAAGAAGCATTCTCAGAAACTTCTTTGTGTTGTGTGTACTCAAGTAACAGTGTTGAACCTTCCTTTTGACAGAGCAGTTTTGAAACACTCTTTTGGTAGAATCTGCAAGTGGATATTTGGATAGCTTTGAGGATTTCGTTGGAAACGGGTTATCTTCATATAAAATCCAGACAGGAGCATTCTCAGAAACTTCTTTGTGCTGTATGTCCTCAATTCACAGAGCTGAACCTTTGTTTGGATACAGCATTTTGGAGACATTCCTTTAGTAGAATCTGCAAGTTGATATTTAGATAGCTTTGAAGATTTCGTTGGAAACGGGAATATCTTCATAGAAAATCTAGACGGAAGCATTCTCAGAAACTGCTTTGTGATGTTTGCATTCAAGTCACAGAGTTGAATATTCCCTTTTATAGAGTAGGTTTGAAACACTCTTTCGGCACTACCTGGAAGTGGATATTTCGAGCTCTTTGAGGCCTATGGTTAAAAGGAAATATCTTCCCATAAAAACTAGACAGAAGCCGTCTCAGAAACTTGTTTGTGATGTGTGTATTCAACTACCAGAGTTGAACATTTCTGTTACAGAGCAATTTTAAAACACTCTTTTTGTGGAATCTGAAAGTGGATAATTGGATAGCTTTGTGGATTTCGTTGGAAATGGGATGACGTATAAAATCTAGAGAGAAGCATTCTCAGGAACTTCTTTCTGATGTTTGCATTCAAGTCACAGAATTGAACATTCCTTTTCAGAGTGCAGGTTTGAAACACTCTTTCTGTAGTATCTGGAAGTGGACATTTCAAGCGCTTTCAGGCCTACAGGGAGAAAGGAAATATCTTCAAATAAAAACTAGAGAGAAGGATTCTCAGAAACTTATTTGTGATGTGTGTCCTAAACGAACACAGTTGAACCTTTGTTTTGATACAGCATTTTGGAAACACTCCTTTTGTAGGTTCTGCAGGTGGATATTTGGATAGATTTTAAGATTTCGTTGGAAACGGGAATTTCTTCATAGAAGCTCAAGACAGATGCATTCTCAGAAACTTCTCTGTGATGTTTGCATTCCACTCATAGAGTTGAAAACTTCCTTTCATAGAGCAGGTTTGAAACACTCTTTTTGTAATATGTGGAAGTGGACATTTGCAGCGCTTTGAGGCCTATGGTGAAAAAGGAAATATCTTCTCATAAAAACCAGAAACAAGCATTCTCAGAAACTTCTTTTTGATGTGTGTACTCAAATATCAGAGTTGAACCTTCCTTTTGACACAGCAGTTTTGAAACAATCTTTTTGTAGAATCTGCAAGTGGACATTTGGATAGCTTTGATGATTTCGTTGGAAACGGGATATCTTCATATAAAATCTAGACAGAAGCATTCTCAGAAACTTCTTTGTGCTGTATGTCCTCAATTAACAGAGTTGAACCATTGCTTGGATACAGCATTTTGGAAACATTCCTTGAGTAGAATCTGCAAGTTGATATTTAGATAGATTTGAAGATTTCGTTGGAAAAGGGAATATCTCCATATAAAATCAAGAGGGAAGCATTCTCAGAAACTGCTTTATGATGTTTCCCTTCAAGTCACAGAGTTGAATATTCCCTTTTATAGAGCACGTTTGAAACAATCTTTCTGCACTATGTGGAAGTGGACATTTCGAGCGCTTTGAGGCCTATGGTGAAAAAGGAAATATCTTCCCATAAAAACTAGACAGAAGCATTCTCAGAAACTTGTTTGTGATGTGTGTATTCAACTAACAGAGTTGAACTTTTGTTTTTACAGAGCCGTTTTAAAACACCCTTTTTGTGGAATCAGAAAGTGGATATTCGGATGGCTCTGAGGATTTCGTTGGAAGCGGGATTACATATAAAATCTAGAGAGAAGCATTCTCAGGAACTTCTTTGTGATGTTTGCATTGAAGTCACAGAATTGAACATTCACTTTGATAGAGCAGGTTTGAAACACTCATTCTGTAGTATCTGGAAGTGGACATTTCAAGCGCTTTCAGGCCTATGGTGAGAAAGGAAATATCTTCGAATAAAAACTAGACAGAAGCATCCTCAAACTTATTTGTGATGTGTGTCCTCAACTAACAGAGTTGAAACTTTGTTTTGATACAGCATTTTGGAAACACTCTTTTTGTAGAATCTGCAGGTGGATATTTGGATAGCTTAGAGGGATTCGTTGGAAAGGGGATATCTTCATATAGAATCTAGACAGAAGCATTCTCAGAAACTTATTTGTGATGTGTGTCCTCAACTAACAGAGTTGAACTTTGGTTTTGATACAGCATTTTGGAAACACTCCTTTTGTAGAATCTGCAGGTGGATATGTGGATAGCTCTGAAGATTTCGTTGGAAACGGGAATTTCTTCATATAAAATCAAACAGAAGCATTCTCAGAAACTTCTCAGTGATGTTTGCATTCAGTTCATGGAGTTGAACACTTCCTTTCATAGAGCAGGTTTGAAACACTCTTTCTGCACTACCTGGAAGAGGACATTTCGAGCGCTTTGAGTCCTATGGTGAAAAAGGAAATATCTTCTTATAGAAACCAGAAAGAAGCATTCTCAGAAACTTCTTTGTGTTGTGTGTACTCATGTAACAGTGTTGAACCATCCTTTTGACAGAGCAGTTTTGAAACACTCTTTTTGTAGAATCTGCAAGTGGATATTTGGATAGCTTTGAGGATTTCGTTGGAAACGGGATGACATATAATATCTAGAGAGAAGCATTCTCAGGAACTTCTTTGTGATGTTTGCATTCAAGTCACAGAATTGAACATTCCCTTTCATAGAGCAGGTTTGAAACACTCTTTCTCTAGTATCTGGAAGTGGGCATTTCAAGCGCTTTCAGGCCTATGGAGAGAAAGGAAATACCTTCAAATAAAAACTAGACAGAAGCATTCTCAGAAACTTATTTGTGATGTGTGTCCTCAACTAACAGAGTTGAACCTTTGTTTTGATACAGCATTTTGGAAACACTCCTTTTGTAGAATCTGCAGGTGGATATTTGGATAGCTTTGAAGATTTCGTTGGAAACCGGAATATCTTCATATAAAATCAAGACAGAAGCATTCTCGGAAACATCTCTGTGATGTTTGCATTCAACTCAGTAGAGTTGAACACTTCCTTTCATAGAGCAGGTTTGAAACACTCTTTCTGCACTACCTGGAAGCGGACATTTCGAGCGCTTTGAGGCCTATGGTGAAAAAGGAAATATCTTCTCATAAAAACCAGAAAGAAGCATTCTCAGAAACTTCTTTGTGTTGTGTGTACTCAAGTAACAGTGTTGAACCTTCCTTTTGACAGAGCAGTTTTGAAACACTCTTTTGGTAGAATCTGCAAGTGGATATTTGGATAGCTTTGAGGATTTCGTTGGAAACGGGTTATCTTCATATAAAATCCAGACAGGAGCATTCTCAGAAACTTCTTTGTGCTGTATGTCCTCAATTCACAGAGCTGAACCTTTGTTTGGATACAGCATTTTGGAGACATTCCTTTAGTAGAATCTGCAAGTTGATATTTAGATAGCTTTGAAGATTTCGTTGGAAACAGGAATATCTTCATAGAAAATCTAGACGGAAGCATTCTCAGAAACTGCTTTGTGATGTTTGCATTCAAGTCACAGAGTTGAATATTCCCTTTTATAGAGTAGGTTTGAAACACTCTTTCGGCACTACCTGGAAGTGGATATTTCGAGCTCTTTGAGGCCTATGGTTAAAAGGAAATATCTTCCCATAAAAACTAGACAGAAGCCGTCTCAGAAACTTGTTTGTGATGTGTGTATTCAACTAACAGAGTTGAACATTTCTGTTACAGAGCAATTTTAAAACACTCTTTGTGGAATCTGAAAGTGGATAATTGGATAGCTTTGTGGATTTCGTTGGAAACGGGATGACGTATAAAATCTAGAGAGAAGCATTCTCAGGAACTTCTTTCTGATGTTTGCATTCAAGTCACAGAATTGAACATTCCTTTTCAGAGTGCAGGTTTGAAACACTCTTTCTGTAGTATCTGGAAGTGGACATTTCAAGCGCTTTCAGGCCTACGGGGAGAAAGGAAATATCTTCAAATAAAAACTAGACAGAAGGATTCTCAGAAACTTATTTGTGATGTGTGTCCTAAACGAACACAGTTGAACCTTTGTTTTGATACAGCATTTTGGAAACACTCCTTTTGTAGGATCTGCAGGTGGATATTTGGATAGATTTTAAGATTTCGTTGGAAACGGGAATTTCTTCATAGAAGCTCAAGACAGATGCATTCTGAGAAACTTCTCTGTGATGTTTGCATTCCACTCATAGAGTTGAAAACTTCCTTTCATAGAGCAGGTTTGAAACACTCTTTTTGTAATATTTGGAAGTGGACATTTGCAGCGCTTTGAGGCCTATGGTGAAAAAGGAAATATCTTCTCATAAAAACCAGAAACAAGCATTCTCAGAAACTTCTTTTTGATGTGTGTACTCAAGTAACAGAGTTGAACCTTCCTCTTGACACAGCAGTTTTGAAACAATCTTTTTGTAGAATCTGCAAGTGGATATTTGGATAGCTTTGAGGATTTCGTTGGAAACGGGATATCTTCATATAAAATCTAGACAGAAGCATTCTCAGAAACTTCTTTGTGCTGTATGTCCTCAATTAACAGAGTTGAACCATTGCCTGGATACAGCATTTTGGAAACATTCCTTGAGTAGAATCTGCAAGTTGATATTTAGATAGATTTGAAGATTTCGTTGGAAAAGGGAATATCTCCATATAAAATCTAGAGGGAAGCATTCTCAGAAACTGCTTTGTGATGTTTCCATTCAAGTCACAGAGTTGAATATTCCCTTTTATAGAGCACGTTTGAAACACTCTTTCTGCACTATCTGGAAGCGGACATTTCGAGCGCTTTGAGGCCTATGGTGAAAAAGGAAATATCTTCCCATAAAAACTAGACAGAAGCATTCTCAGAAACTTGTTTGTGATGTGTGTATTCAACTAACAGAGTTGAACTTTTGTTTTTACAGAGCCGTTTTAAAAACACTCTTTTTGTGGAATCAGAAAGTGGATATTCGGATGGCTCTGAGGATTTCGTTGGAAGCGGGATTACGTATAAAATCTAGAGAGAAGCATTCTCAGGAACTTCTTTCTGATGTTTGCATTGAAGTCACGGAATTGAACATTCACTTTTATAGAGCAGGTTTGAAACACTCATTCTGTAGTATCTGGAAGTGGACATTTCAAGCGCTTTCAGGCCTATGGTGAGAAAGGAAATATCTTCGAATAAAAACTAGACAGAAGCATCCTCAGAAACTTATTTGTGATGTGTGTCCTCAACTAACAGAGTTGAAACTTTGTTTTGATACAGCATTTTGGAAACACTCTTTTTGTAGAATCTGCAGGTGGATATTTGGATAGCTTAGAGGGATTCATTGGAAAGGGGATATCTTCATATAAAATCTAGACAGAAGCATTCTCAGAAACTTATTTGTGATGTGTGTCCTCAACTAACAGAGTTGAACCTTGGTTTTGATACAGCATTTTGGAAACACTCCTTTTGTAGAATCTGCAGGTGGATATGTGGATAGCTCTGAAGATTTCGTTGGAAACGGGAATTTCTTCATATAAAATCAAACAGAAGCATTCTCAGAAACTTCTCAGTGATGTTTGCATTCAGCTCATGGAGTTGTACACTTCCTTTCATAGAGCAGGTTTGAAACACTCTTTCTGCACTACCTGGAAGAGGACATTTCGAGCGCTTTGAGTCCTATGGTGAAAAAGGAAATATCTTCTCATAGAAACCAGAAAGAAGCATTCTCAGAAACTTCTTTGTGTTGTGTGTACTCATGTAACAGTGTTGAACCATCCTTTTGACAGAGGAGTTTTGAAACACTCTTTTTGTAGAATCTGCAAGTGGATATTTGGATAGCTTTGAGGATTTCGTTGGAAACGGGATGACATATAATATCTAGAGAGAAGCATTCTCAGGAACTTCTTTGTGATGTTTGCATTCAAGTCACAGAATTGAACATTCCCTTTCATAGAGCAGGTTTGAAACACTCTTTCTCTAGTATCTGGAAGTGGGCATTTCAAGCGCTTTCAGGCCTATGGAGAGAAAGGGAATACCTTCAAATAAAAACTAGACAGAAGCATCCTCAAACTTATTTGTGATGTGTGTCCTCAACTAACAGAGTTGAAACTTTGTTTTGATACAGCATTTTGGAAACACTCTTTTTGTAGAATCTGCAGGTGGATATTTGGATAGCTTAGAGGGATTCGTTGGAAAGGGGATATCTTCATATAAAATCTAGACAGAAGCATTCTCAGAAACTTATTTGTGATGTGTGTCCTCAACTAACAGAGTTGAACCTTGGTTTTGATACAGCATTTTGGAAACACTCCTTTTGTAGAATCTGCAGGTGGATATGTGGATAGCTCTGAAGATTTCGTTGGAAACGGGAATTTCTTCATATAAAATCAAACAGAAGCATTCTCAGAAACTTCTCAGTGATGTTTGCATTCAGCTCATGGAGTTGTACACTTCCTTTCATAGAGCAGGTTTGAAACACTCTTTCTGCACTACCTGGAAGAGGACATTTCGAGCGCTTTGAGTCCTATGGTGAAAAAGGAAATATCTTCTCATAGAAACCAGAAAGAAGCATTCTCAGAAACTTCTTTGTGTTGTGTGTACTCATGTAACAGTGTTGAACCATCCTTTTGACAGAGCAGTTTTGAAACACTCTTTTTGTAGAATCTGCAAGTGGATATTTGGATAGCTTTGAGGATTTCGTTGGAAACGGGATGACATATAATATCTAGAGAGAAGCATTCTCAGGAACTTCTTTGTGATGTTTGCATTCAAGTCACAGAATTGAACATTCCCTTTCATAGAGCAGGTTTGAAACACTCTTTCTCTAGTATCTGGAAGTGGGCATTTCAAGCGCTTTCAGGCCTATGGAGAGAAAGGAAATACCTTCAAATAAAAACTAGACAGAAGCATTCTCAGAAACTTATTTGTGATGTGTGTCCTCAACTAACAGAGTTGAACCTTTGTTTTGATACAGCATTTTGGAAACACTCCTTTTGTAGAATCTGCAGGTGGATATTTGGATAGCTTTGAAGATTTCGTTGGAAACCGGAATATCTTCATATAAAATCAAGACAGAAGCATTCTCGGAAACATCTCTGTGATGTTTGCATTCAACTCAGTAGAGTTGAACACTTCCTTTCATAGAGCAGGTTTGAAACACTCTTTCTGCACTACCTGGAAGCGGACATTTCGAGCGCTTTGAGGCCTATGGTGAAAAAGGAAATATCTTCTCATAAAAACCAGAAAGAAGCATTCTCAGAAACTTCTTTGTGTTGTGTGTACTCAAGTAACAGTGTTGAACCTTCCTTTTGACAGAGTAGTTTTGAAACACTCTTTTGGTAGAATCTGCAAGTGGATATTTGGATAGCTTTGAGGATTTCGTTGGGAACGGGTTATCTTCCTATAAAATCCAGACAGGAGCATTCTCAGAAACTTCTTTGTGCTGTATGTCCTCAATTCACAGAGTTGAACCTTTGTTTGGATACAGCATTTTGGAAACATTCCTTTAGTAGAATCTGCAAGTTGATATTTAGATAGCTTTGAAGATTTCGTTGGAAACGGGAATATCTTCATAAAAAATCTAGACGGAAGCATTCTCAGAAACTGCTTTGTGATGTTTGCATTCAAGTCACAGAGTTGAATATTCCCTTTTATAGAGTAGGTTTGAAACACTCTTTCGGCACTACCTGGAAGTGGATATTTCGAGCTCTTATGAGGCCTATGGTTAAAAGGAAATATCTTCCCATAAAAACTAGACAGAAGCCGTCTCAGAAACTTGTTTGTGATGTGTGTATTCAACTAACAGTAGTTGAACATTTCTGTTACAGAGCAATTTTAAAACACTCTTTCTGTGAAATCTGAAAGTGGATAATTGGATAGCTTTGTGGATTTCGTTGGAAACGGGATGACGTATAAAATCTAGAGAGAAGCATTCTCAGGAACTTCTTTCTGATGTTTGCATTCAAGTCACAGAATTGAACATTCCTTTTCAGAGTGCAGGTTTGAAACACTCTTTCTGTAGTATCTGGAAGTGGACATTTCAAGCGCTTTCAGGCCTACGGGGAGAAAGGAAATATCTTCAAATAAAAACTAGACAGAAGGATTCTCAGAAACTTATTTGTGATGTGTGTCCTAAACGAACACAGTTGAACCTTTGTTTTGATACAGCATTTTGGAAACACTCCTTTTGTAGGATCTGCAGGTGGATATTTGGATAGATTTTAAGATTTCGTTGGAAACGGGAATTTCTTCATAGACGCTCAAGACAGATGCATTCTCAGAAACTTCTCTGTGATGTTTGCATTCCACTCATAGAGTTGAAAACTTCCTTTCATAGAGCAGGTTTGAAACACTCTTTTTGTAATATTTGGAAGTGGACATTTGCAGCGCTTTGAGGCCTATGGTGAAAAAGGAAATATCTTCTCATAAAAACCAGAAACAAGCATTCTCAGAAACTTCTTTTTGATGTGTGTACTCAAGTAACAGAGTTGAACCTTCCTCTTGACACAGCAGTTTTGAAACAATCTTTTTGTAGAATCTGCAAGTGGATATTTGGATAGCTTTGAGGATTTCGTTGGAAACGGGATATCTTCATATAAAATCTAGACAGAAGCATTCTCAGAAACTTCTTTGTGCTGTATGTCCTCAATTAACAGAGTTGAACCATTGCCTGGATACAGCATTTTGGAAACATTCCTTGAGTAGAATCTGCAAGTTGATATTTAGATAGATTTGAAGATTTCGTTGGAAAAGGGAATATCTCCATATAAAATCTAGAGGGAAGCATTCTCAGAAACTGCTTTGTGATGTTTCCATTCAAGTCACAGAGTTGAATATTCCCTTTTATAGAGCACGTTTGAAACACTCTTTCTGCACTATCTGGAAGCGGACATTTCGAGCGCTTTGAGGCCTATGGTGAAAAAGGAAATATCTTCCCATAAAAACTAGACAGAAGCATTCTCAGAAACTTGTTTGTGATGTGTGTATTCAACTAACAGAGTTGAACTTTTGTTTTTACAGAGCCGTTTTAAAACACTCTTTTTGTGGAATCAGAAAGTGGATATTCGGATGGCTCTGAGGATTTCGTTGGAAGCGGGATTACGTATAAAATCTAGAGAGAAGCATTCTCAGGAACTTCTTTCTGATGTTTGCATTGAAGTCACAGAATTGAACATTCACTTTGATAGAGCAGGTTTGAAACACTCATTCTGTAGTATCTGGAAGTGGACATTTCAAGCGCTTTCAGGCCTATGGTGAGAAAGGAAATATCTTCGAATAAAAACTAGACAGAAGCATCCTCAAACTAATTGGTGATGTGTGTCCTCAACTAACAGAGTTGAAACTTTGTTTTGATACAGCATTTTGGAAACACTCTTTTTGTAGAATCTGCAGGTGGATATTTGGATAGCTTAGAGGGATTCGTTGGAAAGGGGATATCTTCATATAAAATCTAGACAGAAGCATTCTCAGAAACTTATTTGTGATGTGTGTCCTCAACTAACAGAGTTGAACCTTGGTTTTGATACAGCATTTTGGAAACACTCCTTTTGTAGAATCTGCAGGTGGATATGTGGATAGCTCTGAAGATTTCATTGGAAACGGGAATTTCTTCATATAAAATCAAACAGAAGCATTCTCAGAAACTTCTCAGTGATGTTTGCATTCAGCTCATGGAGTTGAACACTTCCTTTCATAGAGCAGGTTTGAAACACTCTTTCTGCACTACCTGGAAGAGGACATTTCGAGCGCTTTGAGTCCTATGGTGAAAAAGGAAATATCTTCTCATAGAAACCAGAAAGAAGCATTCTCAGAAACTTCTTTGTGTTGTGTGTACTCATGTAACAGTGTTGAACCATCCTTTTGACAGAGGAGTTTTGAAACACTCTTTTTGTAGAATCTGCAAGTGGATATTTGGATAGCTTTGAGGATTTCGTTGGAAACGGGATGACATATAATATCTAGAGAGAAGCATTCTCAGGAACTTCTTTGTGATGTTTGCATTCAAGTCACAGAATTGAACATTCCCTTTCATAGAGCAGGTTTGAAACACTCTTTCTCTAGTATCTGGAAGTGGGCATTTCAAGCGCTTTCAGGCCTATGGAGAGAAAGGAAATACCTTCAAATAAAAACTAGACAGAAGCATTCTCAGAAACTTATTTGTGATGTGTGTCCTCAACTAACAGAGTTGAACCTTTGTTTTGATACAGCATTTTGGAAACACTCCTTTTGTAGAATCTGCAGGTGGATATTTGGATAGCTTTGAAGATTTCGTTGGAAACCGGAATATCTTCATATAAAATCAAGACAGAAGCATTCTCGGAAACATCTCTGTGATGTTTGCATTCAACTCAGTAGAGTTGAACACTTCCTTTCATAGAGCAGGTTTGAAACACTCTTTCTGCACTACCTGGAAGCGGACATTTCGAGCGCTTTGAGGCCTATGGTGAAAAAGGAAATATCTTCTCATAAAAACCAGAAAGAAGCATTCTCAGAAACTTCTTTGTGTTGTGTGTACTCAAGTAACAGTGTTGAACCTTCCTTTTGACAGAGTAGTTTTGAAACACTCTTTTGGTAGAATCTGCAAGTGGATATTTGGATAGCTTTGAGGATTTCGTTGGAAACGGGTTATCTTCATATAAAATCCAGACAGGAGCATTCTCAGAAACTTCTTTGTGCTGTATGTCCTCAATTCACAGAGCTGAACCTTTGTTTGGATACAGCATTTTGGAGACATTCCTTTAGTAGAATCTGCAAGTTGATATTTAGATAGCTTTGAAGATTTCGTTGGAAACGGGAATATCTTCATAGAAAATGCTAGACGGAAGCATTCTCAGCAAACTGCTTTGTGATGTTTGCATTCAAGTCACAGAGTTGAATATTCCCTTTTATAGAGTAGGTTTGAAACACTCTTTCGGCACTACCTGGAAGTGGATATTTCGAGCTCTTTGAGGCCTATGGTTAAAAGGAAATATCTTCCCATAAAAACTAGACAGAAGCCTTCTCAGAAACTTGTTTGAGATGTGTGTATTCAACTAAGAGCGTTGAACACTTCCTTCTACACAGCAGTTTTAAAACACTCTTTTTGTGGAATCTGAAAGTGGATAATTGGATAGCTTTGTGGATTGCGTTGGAAACGGGATTACGTATAAAATCTAGAGAGAAGCATTCTCAGGAACTTCTTTCTGATGTTTGCATTCAAGTCACAGAATTGAACATTCCTCTTCATAGTGCAGGTTTGAAACACTCTTTCTGTAGTATCTGGAAGTGGACATTTCAAGCGCTTTCAGGACTATGGGGAGAAAGGAAATATCTTCAAATAAAAACTAGACAGAAGACTTCTCAGAAACTTATTTGTGATGTGTGCCCTAAACGAACACAGTTGAACCTTTGTTTTGATACAGCATTTTGGAAACACTCCTTTTGTAGAATCTGCAGGTGGATATTTGGATAGATTTTAAGATTTCGTTGGAAACGGGAATTTCTTCATATAAACTCAAGACAGATGCATTCTCAGAAACTTCCCTGTGATGTTTGCATTCCACTCATAGAGTTGAAAACTTCCTTTCATAGAGCAGGTTTGAAACACTCTTTTTGTAATATTTGGAAGTGGACATTTGCAGCGCTTTGAGGCCTATGGTGAAAAAAAAATATCTTCTTATAAAAACCAGAAACGAGCATTCTCAGAAACTTCTTTTTGATGTGTGTACTCAAGTAACAGACTTGAACCTTCCTATTGACACAGCAGTTTTGAAACAATCTTTTTGTAGAATCTGCAAGTGGATATTTGGATAGCGTTGAGGAGTTCGTTGGAAACGGGATATCTTCATATAAAATCCAGACAGGAGCATTCTCAGAAACTTCTTTGTGCTGTATGTCCTCAATTAACAGAGTTGAACCATTGCCTGGATACAGCATTTTGGAAACATTCCTTGAGTAGAATCTGCAAGTTGATATTTAGATAGATTTGAAGATTTCGTTGGAAAAGGGAATATCTCCATATAAAATCTAGAGGGAAGCATTCTCAGAAACTGCTTTCTGATGTTTCCATTCAAGTCACAGAGTTGAATATTCCCTTTTATAGAGCACGTTTGAAACACTCTTTCTGCACTATCTGGAAGCGGACATTTCGAGCGCTTTGAGGCCTATGGTGAAAAAGGAAATATCTTCCCATAAAAACTAGACAGAAGCATTCTCAGAAACTTGTTTGTGATGTGTGTATTCAACTAACAGAGTTGAACTTTTGTTTTTACAGAGCCGTTTTAAAACACTCTTTTTGTGGAATCAGAAAGTGGATATTCGGATGGCTCTGAGGATTTCGTTGGAAGCGGGATTACGTATAAAATCTAGAGAGAAGCATTCTCAGGAACTTCTTTGTGATGTTTGCATTGAAGTCACGGAATTGAACATTCACTTTTATAGAGCAGGTTTGAAACACTCATTCTGTAGTATCTGGAAGTGGACATTTCAAGCGCTTTCAGGCCTATGGTGAGAAAGGAAATATCTTCGAATAAAAACTAGACAGAAGCATCCTCAGAAACTTATTTGTGATGTGTGTCCTCAACTAACAGAGTTGAAACTTTGTTTTGATACAGCATTTTGGAAACACTCTTTTTGTAGAATCTGCAGGTGGATATTTGGATAGCTTAGAGGGTTTCGTTGGAAAGGGGATATCTTCATATAAAATCTAGACAGAAGCATTCTCAGAAACTTATTTGTGATGTGTGTCCTCAACTAACAGAGTTGAACCTTGGTTTTGATACAGCATTTTGGAAACACTCCTTTTGTAGAATCTGCAGGTGGATATGTGCATAGCTCTGAAGATTTCGTTGGAAACGGGAATTTCTTCATATAAAATCAAACAGAAGCATTCTCAGGAACTTCTCTGTGATGTTTGCATTGAGCTCATGGAGTTGAACACTTCCTTTCATAGAGCAGGTTTGAAACACTCTTTCTGCACTACCTGGAAGTGGACATTTCGAGCGCTTTGAGGCCTATGGTGAAAAGGGAAATATCTTCTCATAAAAACCAGAAAGAAGCGTTCTCAGAAACTTCTTTGTGTTGTGTGTACTCATGTAACAGTGTTGAACCATCCTTTTGACAGAGCAGTTTTGAAACACTCTTTTTGTAGAATCTGCCAGTGGATATTTGGATAGCTTTGAGGATTTCGTTGGAAACGGGTTATCTTCATATTAAATCTAGACAGAAGCATTCTCAGAAACTTCTTTGTGCTGTATGTCCTCAATTCACAGAGTTGAACCTTTGTTTGGATACAGCATTTTGGAAACATTCCTTTAGTAGAATCTGCAAGTTGATATTTAGATAGCTTTGAAGATTTCGTTGGAAACGGGAATATCTTCATAAAAAATCTAGACGGAAGCATTGTCAGAAACTGCTCTGTGATGTTTGCATTCAAGTCACAGAGTTAAATATTCTTTTATAGAGCAGGTTTGAAACACTCTTTCTGCACTCCCTGGAAGTGGAGATTTCGAGCGCTTTGAGGCCTATGGTGAAAAAGGAAATATCTTCCCATAAAAACTAGACGGAAGCCTTCTCAGAAACTTGTTTGAGATGTGTGTATTCAACTAAGAGCCGTTGAACATTTCTTTTTACAGAGCAGTTTTAAAACAGTCTTTTGGTGGAATCTGAAAGTGGATAATTGGATAGCTTTGTGGATTTCGTTGGAAACGGGATTACGTTTAAAATCTAGAGAGAAGCATTCTCAGGAACTTCTTTCTGATGTTTGCATTCAAGTCACAGAATTGAACATTCCTTTTCATAGTGCAGGTTTGAAACACTCTGTAGTATCTGGAAGTGGACATTTCAAGCGCTTTCAGGCCTATGCGGAGAAAGGAAATATCTTGAAATAAAAACTAGACAGAAGGATTCTCAGAAACTTATTTGTGATGTGTGTTCTCAACGAACACAGTTGAACCTTTGTTTTGATATAGCATTTTGGAAGCACTCCTTTTGTAGAATCTGCAGGTGGATATTTGGATAGATTTTAAGATTTCATTGGAAACGGGAATTTCTTCATATAAACTCAAGACAGATGCATTCTCAGAAACTTCTCTGTGATGTTTGCATTCC
Organism: Homo sapiens; assembly: GCF_000001405.40. Classification (NCBI taxonomy): domain Eukaryota; kingdom Metazoa; phylum Chordata; class Mammalia; order Primates; family Hominidae; genus Homo; species Homo sapiens. Next base: position 50,341,063 of record NC_000004.12, read on the forward strand.
ACTCACAGAGTTGAAAACTTCCTTTCATAGAGCAGGTTTGAAACACTCTTTTTGTAATATTTGGAAGTGGACATTTGCAGCGCTTTGAGGCCTATGGTGAAAAAGGAAATATCTTCTCATAAAAACCAGAAACAAGCATTCTCAGAAACTGCTTTTTGATGTGTGTACTCAAGTAACAGAGTTGAACCTTCCTTTTGACACAGCAGTTTTGAAACAATCTTTTTGTAGAATCTGCAAGTGGATATTTGGATAGCTTTGAGGATTTCGTTGGAAACGGGATATCTTCATATAAAATCTAGACAGAAGCATTCTCAGAAACTTCTTTGTGCTGTATGTCCTCAATTCACAGAGTTGAACCTTTGTTTGGATACAGCATTTTGGAAACATTCCTTTAGTAGAATCTGCAAGTTGATATTTAGATAGCTTTGAAGATTTCGTTGGAAACGGGAATATCTTCATAAAAAATCTAGACGGAAGCATTGTCAGAAACTGCTCTGTGATGTTTGCATTCAAGTCACAGAGTTAAATATTCTTTTATAGAGCAGGTTTGAAACACTCTTTCTGCACTCCCTGGAAGTGGAGATTTCGAGCGCTTTGAGGCCTATGGTGAAAAAGGAAATATCTTCCCATAAAAACTAGACGGAAGCCTTCTCAGAAACTTGTTTGAGATGTGTGTATTCAACTAAGAGCGTTGAACATTTCTTTTTACAGAGCAGTTTTAAAACACTCTTTTTGTGGAATCTGAAAGTGGATAATTGGATAGCTTTGTGGATTTCGTTGGAAACGGGATTACGTTTAAAATCTAGAGAGAAGCATTCTCAGGAACTTCTTTCTGATGTTTGCATTCAAGTCACAGAATTGAACATTCCTTTTCATAGTGCAGGTTTGAAACACTCTGTAGTATCTGGAAGTGGACATTTCAAGCGCTTTCAGGCCTATGGGGAGAAAGGAAATATCTTGAAATAAAAACTAGACAGAAGGATTCTCAGAAACTTATTTGTGATGTGTGTTCTCAACGAACACAGTTGAACCTTTGTTTTGATATAGCATTTTGGAAGCACTCTTTTGTAGAATCTGCAGGTGGATATTTGGATAGATTTTAAGATTTCATTGGAAACGGGAATTTCTTCATATAAACTCAAGACAGATGCATTCTCAGAAACTTCTCTGTGATGTTTGCATTCCACTCACAGAGTTGAAAACTTCCTTTCATAGAGCAGGTTTGAAACACTCTTTTTGTAATATTTGGAAGTGGACATTTGCAGCGCTTTGAGGCCTATGGTGAAAAAGGAAATATCTTCTCATAAAAACCAGAAACAAGCATTCTCAGAAACTGCTTTTTGATGTGTGTACTCAAGTAACAGAGTTGAACCTTCCTTTTGACACAGCAGTTTTGAAACAATCTTTTTGTAGAATCTGCAAGTGGATATTTGGATAGCTTTGAGGATTTCGTTGGAAACGGGATATCTTCATATAAAATCTAGACAGAAGCATTCTCAGAAACTTCTTTGTGCTGTATGTCCTCAATTAACAGAGTTGAACCATTGCTTGGATACAGCATTTTGGAAACATTCCTTTAGTAGAATCTGCAAGTTGATATTTAGATAGATTTGAAGATTTCGTTGGAAACGGGAATATCTTCATATAAAATCTAGACGGAGGCATTCTCAGAAACTGCTTTGTGATGTTTCCATTCAAGTCACAGAGTTGAATATTCCCTTTTATAGAGCACGTTTGAAACACTCTTTCGGCACTATCTGGAAGTGGACATTTCGAGCGCTTTGAGGCCTATGGTGAAAAAGGAAATATCTTCCCATAAAAACTAGACAGAAGCATTCTCAGAAACTTGTTTGTGATGTGTGTATTCAACTAACAGACTTGAACTTTTGTTTTTACAGAGCAGTTTTAAAACAATCTTTTTGTGGAATCAGAAAGTGGATATTCGGATGGCTTTGAGGATTTCGTTGGAAGCGGGATTACATATAAAATGTAGAGAGAAGCATTCTCAGGAACTACTTTGTGATGTTTGCATTGAAGTCACAGAATTGAACATTCACTATGATAGAGCAGGTTTGAAACACTCATGCTGTAGTATCTGGAAGTGGACATTTCAAGCGCTTTCAGGCCTATGGTGAGAAAGGAAATATCTTCAAATTAAAACTAGACAGAAGCATCCTCAGAAACTTATTTGTGATGTGTGTCCTCAACTAACAGAGTTGAAACTTTGTTTTGATACAGCATTTTGGAAACACTCTTTTTGTAGAATCTGCAGGTGGATATTTGGATAGCTTAGAGGGATTCGTTGGAAAGGGGATATCTTCATATAAAATCTAGACAGAAGCATTCTCAGAAACTTATTTGTGATGTGTGTCCTCAACTAACAGAGTTGAACCTTGGTTTTGATACAGCATTTTGGAAACACTCCTTTTGAAGAATCTGCAGGTGGATATGTGGATAGCTTTGAAGATTTCGTTGGAAACGGGAATTTCTTCATATAAAATCAAACAGAAGCATTCTCAGGCAACTTCTCTGTGATGTTTGCATTCAGCTCATGGAGTTGAACACTTCCTTTCATAGAGCAGGTTTGAAACACTCTTTCTGCACTACCTGGAAGTGGACATTTCGAGCGCTTTGAGGCCTATGGTGAAAAAGGAAATATCCTCTCATAAAAACCAGAAAGAAGCGTTCTCAGAAACTTCTTTGTGTTGTGTGTACTCATGTAACAGTGTTGAACCATCCTTTTGACAGAGCAGTTTTGAAACACTCTTTTTGTAGAATCTGCCAGTGGATATTTGGATAGCTTTGAGGATTTCGTTGGAAACGGGTTATCTTCATATTAAATCTAGACAGAAGCATTCTCAGAAACTTCTTTGTGCTGTATGTCCTCAATTCACAGAGTTGAACCTTTGTTTGGATACAGCATTTTGGAAACATTCCTTTAGTAGAATCTGCAAGTTGATATTTAGATAGCTTTGAAGATTTCGTTGGAAACGGGAATATCTTCATAAAAAATCTAGACGGAAGCATTGTCAGAAACTGCTCTGTGATGTTTGCATTCAAGTCACAGAGTTAAATATTCTTTTATAGAGCAGGTTTGAAACACTCTTTCTAAACTCCCTGGAAGTGGAGATTTCGAGCGCTTTGAGGCCTATGGTGAAAAAGGAAATATCTTCCCATAAAAACTAGACGGAAGCCTTCTCAGAAACTTGTTTGAGATGTGTGTATTCAACTAAGAGCGTTGAACATTTCTTTTTACAGAGCAGTTTTAAAACACTCTTTTGGTGGAATCTGAAAGTGGTTAATGGGATAGCTTTGTGGATTTCGTTGGAAACGGGATTACGTTTAAAATCTAGAGAGAAGCATTCTCAGGAACTTCTTTCTGATGTTTGCATTCAAGTCACAGAATTGAACATTCCTTTTCATAGTGCAGGTTTGAAACACTCTGTAGTATCTGGAAGTGGACATTTCAAGCGCTTTCAAGCCTATGGGGAGAAAGGAAATATCTTGAAATAAAAACTAGACAGAAGGATTCTCAGAAACTTATTTGTGATGTGTGTCCTAAACGAACACAGTTGAACCTTTGTTTTGATACAGCATTTTGGAAACACTCCTTTTGTAGAATCTGCAGGTGGATATTTGGATAGATTTTAAGATTTCATTGGAAACGGGAATTTCTTCATATAAACTCAAGACAGATGCATTCTCCGAAACTTCTCTGTGATGTTTGCATTCCACTCATAGAGTTGAAAACTTCCTTTCATAGAGCAGGTTTGAAACACTCTTTTTGTAATATTTGGAAGTGGACATTTGCAGCGCTTTGAGGCCTATGGTGAAAAAGGAAATATCTTCTTGTAAAAACCAGAAACAAGCATTCTCAGAAACTTCTTTTTGATGTGTGTACTCAAGTAACAGAGTTGAACCTTCCTCTTGACACAGCAGTTTTGAAACAATCTTTTTGTAGAATCTGCAAGTGGATATTTGGATAGCTTTGAGGATTTCGTTGGAAACGGGATATCTTCATATAAAAATCTAGACAGAAGCATTCTCAGAAACTTCTTTGTGCTGTATGTCCTCAATTAACAGAGTTGAACCATTGCTTGGATACAGCATTTTGGAAACATTCCTTGAGTAGAATCTGCAAGTTGATATTTAGATAGATTTGAAGATTTCGTTGGAAAAGGGAATATCTCCATATAAAATCTAGAGGGAAGCATTCTCAGAAACTGCTTTGTGATGTTTCCATTCAAGTCACAGAGTTGAATATTCCCTTTTATAGAGCACGTTTGAAACACTCTTTCTGCACTATCTGGAAGTGGACATTTCGAGCGCTTTGAGGCCTATGGTGAAAAAGGAAATATCTTCCCATAAAAACTAGACAGAAGCATTCTCAGAAACTTGTTTGTGATGTGTGTATTCAACTAACAGAGTTGAACTTTTGTTTTTACAGAGCCGTTTTAAAACACTCTTTTTGTGGAATCAGAAAGTGGATATTCGGATGGCTCGGAGGATTTCGTTGGAAGCGGGATTACATATAAAATCTAGAGAGAAGCATTCTCAGGAACTTTCTTTGTGATGTTTGCATTGAAGTCACAGAATTGAACATTCACTTTGATAGAGCAGGTTTGAAACACTCATTCTGTAGGATCTGGAAGTGGACATTTCAAGCGCTTTCAGGCCTATGGTGAGAAAGGAAATATCTTCGAATAAAAACTAGACAGAAGCATCCTCAGAAACTTATTTGTGATGTGTGTCCTCAACTAACAGAGTTGAAACTTTGTTTTGATACAGCATTTTGGAAACACTCTTTTTGTAGAATCTGCAGGTGGATATTTGGATAGCTTAGAGGGATTCGTTGGAAAGGGGATATCTTCATATAAAATCTAGACAGAAGCATTCTCAGAAACTTATTTGTGATGTGTGTCCTCAACTAACAGAGTTGAACCTTGGTTTTGATACAGCATTCTGGAAACACTCCTTTTGTAGAATCTGCAGGTGGATATGTGGATAGCTCTGAAGATTTCGTTGGAAACGGGAATTTCTTCATATAAAATCAAACAGAAGCATTCTCAGAAACTTCTCAGTGATGTTTGCATTCAGTTCATGGAGTTGAACACTTCCCTTCATAGAGCCGGTTTGAAACACTCTTTCTGCACTACCTGGAAGAGGACATTTCGAGCGCTTTGAGTCCTATGGTGAAAAAGGAAATATCTTCTCATAGAAACCAGAAAGAAGCATTCTCAGAAACTTCTTTGTGTTGTGTGTACTCATGTAACAGTGTTGAACCATCCTTTTGACAGAGCAGTTTTGAAACACTCTTTTTGTAGAATCTGCAAGTGGATATTTGGATAGCTTTGAGGATTTCGTTGGAAACGGGATGACATATAATATCTAGAGAGAAGCATTCTCAGGAACTTCTTTGTGATGTTTGCATTCAAGTCACAGAATTGAACATTCCCTTTCATAGAGCAGGTTTGAAACACTCTTTCTCTAGTATCTGGAAGTGGGCATTTCAAGCGCTTTCAGGCCTATGGAGAGAAAGGAAATACCTTCAAATAAAAACTAGACAGAAGCATTCTCAGAAACTTATTTGTGATGTGTGTCCTCAACTAACAGAGTTGAACCTTTGTTTTGATACAGCATTTTGGAAACACTCCTTTTGTAGAATCTGCAGGTGGATATTTGGATAGCTTTGAAGATTTCGTTGGAAACCGGAATATCTTCATATAAAATCAAGACAGAAGCATTCTCGGAAACATCTCTGTGATGTTTGCATTCAACTCAGTAGAGTTGAACACTTCCTTTCATAGAGCAGGTTTGAAACACTCTTTCTGCACTACCTGGAAGCGGACATTTCGAGCGCTTTGAGGCCTATGGTGAAAAAGGAAATATCTTCTCATAAAAACCAGAAAGAAGCATTCTCAGAAACTTCTTTGTGTTGTGTGTACTCAAGTAACAGTGTTGAACCTTCCTTTTGACAGAGTAGTTTTGAAACACTCTTTTGGTAGAATCTGCAAGTGGATATTTGGATAGCTTTGAGGATTTCGTTGGAAACGGGTTATCTTCCTATAAAATCCAGACAGGAGCATTCTCAGAAACTTCTTTGTGCTGTATGTCCTCAATTCACAGAGCTGAACCTTTGTTTGGATACAGCATTTTGGAGACATTCCTTTAGTAGAATCTGCAAGTTGATATTTAGATAGCTTTGAAGATTTCGTTGGAAACGGGAATATCTTCATAGAAAATCTAGACGGAAGCATTCTCAGAAACTGCTTTGTGATGTTTGCATTCAAGTCACAGAGTTGAATATTCCCTTTTATAGAGTAGGTTTGAAACACTCTTTCGGCACTACCTGGAAGTGGATATTTCGAGCTCTTTGAGGCCTATGGTTAAAAGGAAATATCTTCCCATAAAAACTAGACAGAAGCCGTCTCAGAAACTTGTTTGTGATGTGTGTATTCAACTAACAGAGTTGAACATTTCTGTTACAGAGCAATTTTAAAACACTCTTTTTGTGGAATCTGAAAGTGGATAATTGGATAGCTTTGTGGATTTCGTTGGAAACGGGATTACGTTTAAAATCTAGAGAGAAGCATTCTCAGGAACTTCTTTCTGATGTTTGCATTCAAGTCACAGAATTGAACATTCCTTTTCAGAGTGCAGGTTTGAAACACTCTTTCTGTAGTATCTGGAAGTGGACATTTCAAGCGCTTTCAGGCCTACGGGGAGAAAGGAAATATCTTCAAATAAAAACTAGACAGAAGGATTCTCAGAAACTTATTTGTGATGTGTGTCCTAAACCAACACAGTTGAACCTTTGTTTTGATACAGCATTTTGGAAACACTCCTTTTGTAGGATCTGCAGGTGGATATTTGGATAGATTTTAAGATTTCGTTGGAAACGGGAATTTCTTCATAGAAGCTCAAGACAGATGCATTCTCAGAAACTTCTCTGTGATGTTTGCATTCCACTCATAGAGTTGAAAACTTCCTTTCATAGAGCAGGTTTGAAACACTCTTTTTGTAATATTTGGAAGTGGACATTTGCAGCGCTTTGAGGCCTATGGTGAAAAAGGAAATATCTTCTCATAAAAACCAGAAACAAGCATTCTCAGAAACTGCTTTTTGATGTGTGTACTCAAGTAACAGAGTTGAACCTTCCTTTTGACACAGCAGTTTTGAAACAATCTTTCTGTAGAATCTGCAAGTGGATATTTGGATAGCTTTGAGGATTTCGTTGGAAACGGGATATCTTCATATAAAATCTAGAAAGAAGCATTCTCAGAAACTTCTTTGTGCTGTATGTCCTCAATTAACAGAGTTGAACCATTGCTTGGATACAGCATTTTGGAAACATTCCTTTAGTAGAATCTGCAAGTTGATATTTAGATAGATTTGAAGAATTCGTTGGAAACGGGAATATCTTCATATAAAATCTAGACGGAGGCATTCTCAGAAACTGCTTTGTGATGTTTCCATTCAAGTCACAGAGTTGAATATTCTCTTTTATAGAGCACGTTTGAAACACTCTTTCTGCACTATCTGGAAGTGGACATTTCGAGTGCTTTGAGGCCTATGGTGAAAAAGGAAGTATCTTCCCATAAAAACTAGACAGAAGCATTCTCAGAAACTTGTTTGTGATGTGTGTATTCAACTAACAGAGTTGAACTTTTGTTTTTACAGAGCCGTTTTAAAACACTCTTTTTGTGGAATCAGAAAGTGGATATTCGGATGGCTCTGAGGATTTCGTTGGAAGCGGGATTACATATAAAATCTAGAGAGAAGCATTCTCAGGAACTTCTTTGTGATGTTTGCATTGAAGTCACAGAATTGAACATTCACTTTGATAGAGCAGGTTTGAAACACTCATTCTGTAGTATCTGGAAGTGGACATTTCAAGCGCTTTCAGGCCTATGGTGAGAAAGGAAATATCTTCGAATAAAAACTAGACAGAAGCATCCTCAAACTTATTTGTGATGTGTGTCCTCAACTAACAGAGTTGAAACTTTGTTTTGATACAGCATTTTGGAAACACTCTTTTTGTAGAATCTGCAGGTGGATATTTGGATAGCTTAGAGGGATTCGTTGGAAAGGGGATATCTTCATATAGAATCTAGACAGAAGCATTCTCAGAAACTTATTTGTGATGTGTGTCCTCAACTAACAGAGTTGAACTTTGGTTTTGATACAGCATTTTGGAAACACTCCTTTTGTAGAATCTGCAGGTGGATATGTGGATAGCTCTGAAGATTTCGTTGGAAACGGGAATTTCTTCATATAAAATCAAACAGAAGCATTCTCAGAAACTTCTCAGTGATGTTTGCATTCAGTTCATGGAGTTGAACACTTCCTTTCATAGAGCCGGTTTGAAACACTCTTTCTGCACTACCTGGAAGAGGACATTTCGAGCGCTTTGAGTCCTATGGTGAAAAAGGAAATATCTTCTCATAGAAACCAGAAAGAAGCATTCTCAGAAACTTCTTTGTGTTGTGTGTACTCATGTAACAGTGTTGAACCATCCTTTTGACAGAGCAGTTTTGAAACACTCTTTTTGTAGAATCTGCAAGTGGATATTTGGATAGCTTTGAGGATTTCGTTGGAAACGGGATGACATATAATATCTAGAGAGAAGCATTCTCAGGAACTTCTTTGTGATGTTTGCATTCAAGTCACAGAATTGAACATTCCCTTTCATAGAGCAGGTTTGAAACACTCTTTCTCTAGTATCTGGAAGTGGGCATTTCAAGCGCTTTCAGGCCTATGGAGAGAAAGGAAATACCTTCAAATAAAAACTAGACAGAAGCATTCTCAGAAACTTATTTGTGATGTGTGTCCTCAACTAACAGAGTTGAACCTTGGTTTTGATACAGCATTTTGGAAACACACCTTTTGTAGAATCTGCAGGAGGATATTTGGATAGCTTTGAAGATTTCGTTGGAAACCGGAATATCTTCATATAAAATCAAGACAGAAGCATTCTCGGAAACATCTCTGTGATGTTTGCATTCAACTCAGTAGAGTTGAACACTTCCTTTCATAGAGGAGGTTTGAAACACTCTTTCTGCACTACCTGGAAGCGGACATTTCGAGCGCTTTGAGGCCTATGGTGAAAAAGGAAATATCTTCTCATAAAAACCAGAAAGAAGCATTCTCAGAAACTTCTTTGTGTTGTGTGTACTCAAGTAACAGTGTTGAACCTTCCTTTTGACAGAGCAGTTTTGAAACACTCTTTTGGTAGAATCTGCAAGTGGATATTTGGATAGCTTTGAGGATTTCGTTGGAAACGGGTTATCTTCCTATAAAATCCAGACAGGAGCATTCTCAGAAACTTCTTTGTGCTGTATGTCCTCAATTCACAGAGCTGAACCTTTGTTTGGATACAGCATTTTGGAGACATTCCTTTAGTAGAATCTGCAAGTTGATATTTAGATAGCTTTGAAGATTTCGTTGGAAACGGGAATATCTTCATAGAAAATCTAGACGGAAGCATTCTCAGAAACTGCTTTGTGATGTTTGCATTCAAGTCACAGAGTTGAATATTCCCTTTTATAGAGTAGGTTTGAAACACTCTTTCGGCACTACCTGGAAGTGGATATTTCGAGCTCTTTGAGGCCTATGGTTAAAAGGAAATATCTTCCCATAAAAACTAGACAGAAGCCGTCTCAGAAACTTGTTTGTGATGTGTGTATTCAACTAACAGAGTTGAACATTTCTGTTACAGAGCAATTTTAAAACACTCTTTGTGGAATCTGAAAGTGGATAATTGGATAGCTTTGTGGATTTCGTTGGAAACGGGATGACGTATAAAATCTAGAGAGAAGCATTCTCAGGAACTTCTTTCTGATGTTTGCATTCAAGTCACAGAATTGAACATTCCTTTTCATAGTGCAGGTTTGAAACACTCTTTCTGTAGTATCTGGAAGGGGACATTTGAAGCGCTTTCAGGCCTCTGGGGAGGAAGGAAATATCTTCAAATAAAAACTAGACAGAAGGCTTCTCAGAAACTTATTTGTGATGTGTGTCCTAAACGAACACAGTTGAACCTTTTGTTTTGATACAGCATTTTGGAAACACTCCTTTTGTAGAATCTGCAGGTGGATATTTGGATAGATTTTAAGATTTCGTTGGAAACGGGAATTTCTTCATAGAAACTCAAGACAGATGCATTCTCAGAAACTTCTCTGTGATGTTTGCATTCCACTCATAGAGTTGAAAACTTCCTTTCATAGAGCACGTTTGAAACACTCTTTTTGTAATATTTGGAAGTGGATCTTTGCAGCACTTTGAGGCCTGTGGTGAAAAAGGAAATATCTTCTCATAAAAACCAGAAACAAGCATTCTCAGAAACTTCTTTTTGATGTGTGTACTCAAGTAACAGAGTTGAACCTTCCTTTTGACACAGCAGTTTTGAAACAATCTTTTTGTAGAATCTGCAAGTGGATATTTGGATAGCTTTGAGGATTTCGTTGGAAACGGGATATCTTCATATAAAATCTAGACAGAAGCATTCTCAGAAACTTCTTTGTGCTGTATGTCCTCAATTAACAGAGTTGAACCATTGCCTGGATACAGCATTTTGGAAACATTCCTTGAGTAGAATCTGCAAGTTGATATTTAGATAGATTTGAAGATTTCGTTGGAAAAGGGAATATCTCCATATAAAATCTAGAGGGAAGCATTCTCAGAAACTGCTTTGTGATGTTTCCATTCAAGTCACAGAGTTGAATATTCCCTTTTATAGAGCACGTTTGAAACACTCTTTCTGCACTATCTGGAAGCGGACATTTCGAGCGCTTTGAGGCCTATGGTGAAAAAGGAAATATCTTCCCATAAAAACTAGACAGAAGCATTCTCAGAAACTTGTTTGTGATGTGTGTATTCAACTAACAGAGTTGAACTTTTGTTTTTACAGAGCCGTTTTAAAACACTCTTTTTGTGGAATCAGAAAGTGGATATTCGGATGGCTCTGAGGATTTCGTTGGAAGCGGGATTACGTATAAAATCTAGAGAGAAGCATTCTCAGGAACTTCTTTCTGATGTTTGCATTGAAGTCACGGAATTGAACATTCACTTTGATAGAGCAGGTTTGAAACACTCATTCTGTAGTATCTGGAAGTGGACATTTCAAGAGCTTTCAGGCCTATGGTGAGAAAGGAAATATCTTCGAATAAAAACTAGACAGAAGCATCCTCAGAAACTTATTTGTGATGTGTGTCCTCAACTAACAGAGTTGAAACTTTGTTTTGATACAGCATTTTGGAAAAACTCTTTTTGTAGAATCTGCAGGTGGATATTTGGATAGCTTAGAGGGATTCGTTGGAAAGGGGATATCTTCATATAAAATCTAGACAGAAGCATTCTCAGAAACTTATTTGTGATGTGTGTCCTCAACTAACAGAGTTGAACCTTGGTTTTGATACAGCATTTTGGAAACACTCCTTTTGTAGAATCTGCAGGTGGATATGTGGATAGCTCTGAAGATTTCGTTGGAAACGGGAATTTCTTCATATAAAATCAAACAGAAACATTCTCAGAAACTTCTCAGTGATGTTTGCATTCAGTTCATGGAGTTGAACACTTCCCTTCATAGAGCCGGTTTGAAACACTCTTTCTGCACTACCTGGAAGAGGACATTTCGAGCGCTTTGAGTCCTATGGTGAAAAAGGAAATATCTTCTCATAGAAACCAGAAAGAAGCATTCTCAGAAACTTCTTTGTGTTGTGTGTACTCATGTAACAGTGTTGAACCATCCTTTTGACAGAGCAGTTTTGAAACACTCTTTTTGTAGAATCTGCAAGTGGATATTTGGATAGCTTTGAGGATTTCGTTGGAAACGGGATGACATATAATATCTAGAGAGAAGCATTCTCAGGAACTTCTTTGTGATGTTTGCATTCAAGTCACAGAATTGAACATTCCCTTTCATAGAGCAGGTTTGAAACACTCTTTCTCTAGTATCTGGAAGTGGGCATTTCAAGCGCTTTCAGGCCTATGGAGAGAAAGGAAATACCTTCAAATAAAAACTAGACAGAAGCATTCTCAGAAACTTATTTGTGATGTGTGTCCTCAACTAACAGAGTTGAACCTTTGTTTTGATACAGCATTTTGGAAACACTCCTTTTGTAGAATCTGCAGGTGGATATTTGGATAGCTTTGAAGATTTCGTTGGAAACCGGAATATCTTCATATAAAATCAAGACAGAATCATTCTCGGAAACATCTCTGTGATGTTTGCATTCAACTCAGTAGAGTTGAACACTTCCTTTCATAGAGCAGGTTTGAAACACTCTTTCTGCACTATCTGGAAGCGGACATTTCGAGCGCTTTGAGGCCTATGTTGAAAAAGGAAATATCTTCTCATAAAAACCAGAAAGAAGCATTCTCAGAAACTTCTTTGTGTTGTGTGTACTCAAGTAACAGTGTTGAACCTTCCTTTTGACAGAGCAGTTTTGAAACACTCTTTTGGTAGAATCTGCAAGTGGATATTTGGATAGCTTTGAGGATTTCGTTGGAAACGGGTTATCTTCATATAAAATCCAGACAGGAGCATTCTCAGAAACTTCTTTGTGCTGTATGTCCTCAATTCACAGAGCTGAACCTTTGTTTGGATACAGCATTTTGGAGACATTCCTTTAGTAGAATCTGCAAGTTGATATTTAGATAGCTTTGAAGATTTCGTTGGAAACGGGAATATCTTCATAGAAAATCTAGACGGAAGCATTCTCAGAAACTGCTTTGTGATGTTTGCATTCAAGTCACAGAGTTGAATATTCCCTTTTATAGAGTAGGTTTGAAACACTCTTTCGGCACTACCTGGAAGTGGATATTTCGAGCTCTTTGAGGCCTATGGTTAAAAGGAAATATCTTCCCATAAAAACTAGACAGAAGCCGTCTCAGAAACTTGTTTGTGATGTGTGTATTCAACTAACAGAGTTGAACATTTCTGTTACAGAGCAATTTAAAACACTCTTTTTGTGGAATCTGAAAGTGGATAATTGGATAGCTTTGTGGATTTCGTTGGAAACGGGATGACGTATAAAATCTAGAGAGAAGCATTCTCAGGAACTTCTTTCTGATGTTTGCATTCAAGTCACAGAATTGAACATTCCTTTTCAGAGTGCAGGTTTGAAACACTCTTTCTGTAGTATCTGGAAGTGGACATTTCAAGCGCTTTCAGGCCTACGGGGAGAAAGGAAATATCTTCAATTAAAACTAGAGAGAAGGATTCTCAGAAACTTATTTGTGATGTGTGTCCTAAACGAACACAGTTGAACCTTTGTTTTGATACAGCATTTTGGAAACACTCCTTTTGTAGGATCTGCAGGTGGATATTTGGATAGATTTTAAGATTTCGTTGGAAACGGGAATTTCTTCATAGAAGCTCAAGACAGATGCATTCTCAGAAACTTCTCTGTGATGTTTGCATTCCACTCATAGAGTTGAAAACTTCCTTTCATAGAGCAGGTTTGAAACACTCTTTTTGTAATATTTGGAAGTGGACATTTGCAGCGCTTTGAGGCCTATGGTGAAAAAGGAAATATCTTCTCATAAAAACCAGAAACAAGCATTCTCAGAAACTTCTTTTTGATGTGTGTACTCAAGTAACAGAGTTGAACCTTCCTTTTGACACAGCAGTTTTGAAACAATCTTTTTGTAGAATCTGCAAGTGGATATTTGGATAGCTTTGAGGATTTCGTTGGAAACGGGATATCTTCATATAAAATCTAGACAGAAGCATTCTCAGAAACTTCTTTGTGCTGTATGTCCTCAATTAACAGAGTTGAACCATTGCCTGGATACAGCATTTTGGAAACATTCCTTGAGTAGAATCTGCAAGTTGATATTTAGATAGATTTGAAGATTTCGTTGGAAAAGAGAATATCTCCATATAAAATCTAGAGGGAAGCATTCTCAGAAACTGCTTTGTGATGTTTCCATTCAAGTCACAGAGTTGAATATTCCCTTTTAAAGAGCACGTTTGAAACACTCTTTCTGCACTATCTGGAAGCGGACATTTCGAGCGCTTTGAGGCCTATGGTGAAAAAGGAAATATCTTCCCATAAAAACTAGACAGAAGCATTCTCAGAAACTTGTTTGTGATGTGTGTATTCAACTAACAGAGTTGAACTTTTGTTTTTACAGAGCCGTTTTAAAACACTCTTTTTGTGGAATCAGAAAGTGGATATTCGGATGGCTCTGAGGATTTCGTTGGAAGCGGGATTACGTATAAAATCTAGAGAGAAGCATTCTCAGGAACTTCTTTCTGATGTTTGCATTAAAGTCACGGAATTGAACATTCACTTTTATAGAGCAGGTTTGAAACACTCATTCTGTAGTATCTGGAAGTGGACATTTCAAGCGCTTTCAGGCCTATGGTGAGAAAGGAAATATCTTCGAATAAAAACTAGACAGAAGCATCCTCAGAAACTTGTTTGTGATGTGTGTCCTCAACTAACAGAGTTGAAACTTTGTTTTGATACAGCATTTTGGAAACACTCTTTTTGTAGAATCTGCAGGTGGATATTTGGATAGCTTAGAGGGATTCGTTGGAAAGGGGATATCTTCATATAAAATCTAGACAGAAGCATTCTCAGAAACTTATTTGTGATGTGTGTCCTCAACTAACAGTAGTTGAACCTTGGTTTTGATACAGCATTTTGGAAACACTCCTTTTGTAGAATCTGCAGGTGGATATGTGGATAGCTCTGAAGATTTCGTTGGAAATGGGAATTTCTTCATATAAAATCAAACAGAAGCATTCTCAGAAACTTCTCAGTGATGTTTGCATTCAGTTCATGGAGTTGAACACTTCCTTTCATAGAGCCGGTTTGAAACACTCTTTCTGCACTACCTGGAAGAGGACATTTCGAGCGCTTTGAGTCCTATGGTGAAAAAGGAAATATCTTCTCATAGAAACCAGAAAGAAGCATTCTCAGAAACTTCTTTGTGTTGTGTGTACTCATGTAACAGTGTTGAACCATCCTTTTGACAGAGCAGTTTTGAAACACTCTTTTTGTAGAATCTGCAAGTGGATATTTGGATAGCTTTGAGGATTTCGTTGGAAACGGGATGACATATAATATCTAGAGAGAAGCATTCTCAGGAACTTCTTTGTGATGTTTGCATTCAAGTCACAGAATTGAACATTCCCTTTCATAGAGCAGGTTTGAAACACTCTTTCTCTAGTATCTGGAAGTGGGCATTTCAAGCGCTTTCAGGCCTATGGAGAGAAAGGAAATACCTTCAAATAAAAACTAGACAGAAGCATTCTCAGAAACTTATTTGTGATGTGTGTCCTCAACTAACAGAGTTGAACCTTTGTTTTGATACAGCATTTTGGAAACACTCCTTTTGTAGAATCTGCAGGTGGATATTTGGATAGCTTTGAAGATTTCGTTGGAAACCGGAATATCTTCATATAAAATCAAGACAGAAAGCATTCTCGGAAACATCTCTGTGATGTTTGCATTCAACTCAGTAGAGTTGAACACTTCCTTTCATAGAGCAGGTTTGAAACACTCTTTCTGCACTACCTGGAAGCGGACATTTCGAGCGCTTTGAGGCCTATGGTGAAAAAGGAAATATCTTCTCATAAAAACCAGAAAGAAGCATTCTCAGAAACTTCTTTGTGTTGTGTGTACTCAAGTAACAGTGTTGAACCTTCCTTTTGACAGAGCAGTTTTGAAACACTCTTTTGGTAGAATCTGCAAGTGGATATTTGGATAGCTTTGAGGATTTCGTTGGAAACGGGTTATCTTCCTATAAAATCCAGACAGGAGCATTCTCAAAAACTTCTTTGTGCTGTATGTCCTCAATTCACAGAGCTGAACCTTTGTTTGGATACAGCATTTTGGAGACATTCCTTTAGTAGAATCTGCAAGTTGATATTTAGATAGCTTTGAAGATTTCGTTGGAAACGGGAATATCTTCATAGAAAATCTAGACGGAAGCATTCTCAGAAACTGCTTTGTGATGTTTGCATTCAAGTCACAGAGTTGAATATTCCCTTTTATAGAGTAGGTTTGAAACACTCTTTCGGCACTACCTGGAAGTGGATATTTCGAGCTCTTTGAGGCCTATGGTTAAAAGGAAATATCTTCCCATAAAAACTAGACAGAAGCCGTCTCAGAAACTTGTTTGTGATGTGTGTATTCAACTACCAGAGTTGAACATTTCTGTTACAGAGCAATTTTAAAACACTCTTTTTGTGGAATCTGAAAGTGGATAATTGGATAGCTTTGTGGATTTCGTTGGAAACGGGATGACGTATAAAATCTAGAGAGAAGCATTCTCAGGAACTTCTTTCTGATGTTTGCATTCAAGTCACAGAATTGAACATTCCTTTTCAGAGTGCAGGTTTGAAACACACTCTTTCTGTAGTATCTGGAAGTGGACATTTCAAGCGCTTTCAGGCCTACGGGGAGAAAGGAAATATCTTCAAATAAAAACTAGACAGAAGGATTCTCAGAAACTTATTTGTGATGTGTGTCCTAAACGAACACAGTTGAACCTTTGTTTTGATACAGCATTTTGGAAACACTCCTTTTGTAGGATCTGCAGGTGGATATTTGGATAGATTTTAAGATTTCGTTGGAAACGGGAATTTCTGCATATAAACTCAAGACAGATGCATTCTCAGAAACTTCTCTGTGATGTTTGCATTCCACTCATAGAGTTGAAAACTTCCTTTCATAGAGCAGGTTTGAAACACTCTTTTTGTAATATTTGGAAGTGGACATTTGCAGCGCTTTGAGGCCTATGGTGAAAAAGGAAATATCTTCTCATAAAAACCAGAAACAAGCATTCTCAGAAACTTCTTTTTGATGTGTGTACTCAAGTAACAGAGTTGAACCTTCCTTTTGACACAGCAGTTTTGAAACAATCTTTTTGTAGAATCTGCAAGTGGATATTTGGATAGCTTTGAGGATTTCGTTGGAAACGGGATATCTTCATATAAAATCTAGACAGAAGCATTCTCAGAAACTTCTTTGTGCTGTATGACCTCAATTAACAGAGTTGAACCATTGCTTGCATACAGCATTTTGGAAACATTCCTTGAGTAGAATCTGCAAGTTGATATTTAGATAGATTTGAAGATTTCGTTCGAAAACGGAATATCTCCATATAAAATCTAGAGGGAAGCATTCTCAGAAACTGCTTTGTGATGTTTCCATTCAAGTCACAGAGTTGAATATTCCCTTTTATAGAGCACGTTTGAAACACTCTTTCTGCACTATCTGGAAGTGGACATTTCGAGCGCTTTGAGGCCTATGGTGAAAAAGGAAATATCTTCCCATAAAAGCTAGACAGAAGCATTCTCAGAAACTTGTTTGTGATGTGTGTATTCAACTAACAGAGTTGAACTTTTGTTTTTACAGAGCCGTTTTAAAACACTCTTTTTGTGGAATCAGAAAGTGGATATTCGGATGGCTCTGAGGATTTCGTTGGAAGCGGGATTACATATAAAATCTAGAGAGAAGCATTCTCAGGAACTTCTTTGTGATGTTTGCATTGAAGTCACAGAATTGAACATTCACTTTGATAGAGCAGGTTTGAAACACTCATTCTGTAGTATCTGGAAGTGGACATTTCAAGCGCTTTCAGGCCTATGGTGAGAAAGGAAATATCTTCGAATAAAAACTAGACAGAAGCATCCTCAAACTTATTTGTGATGTGTGTCCTCAACTAACAGAGTTGAAACTTTGTTTTGATACAGCATTTTGGAAACACTCTTTTTGTAGAATCTGCAGGTGGATATTTGGATAGCTTAGAGGGATTCGTTGGAAAGGGGATATCTTCATATAGAATCTAGACAGAAGCATTCTCAGAAACTTATTTGTGATGTGTGTCCTCAACTAACAGAGTTGAACTTTGGTTTTGATACAGCATTTTGGAAACACTCCTTTTGTAGAATCTGCAGGTGGATATGTGGATAGCTCTGAAGATTTCGTTGGAAACGGGAATTTCTTCATATAAAATCAAACAGAAGCATTCTCAGAAACTTCTCAGTGATGTTTGCATTCAGTTCATGGAGTTGAACACTTCCTTTCATAGAGCCGGTTTGAAACACTCTTTCTGCACTACCTGAAGAGGACATTTCGAGCGCTTTGAGTCCTATGGTGAAAAAGGAAATATCTTCTCATAGAAACCAGAAAGAAGCATTCTCAGAAACTTCTTTGTGTTGTGTGTACTCATGTAACAGTGTTGAACCATCCTTTTGACAGAGCAGTTTTGAAACACTCTTTTTGTAGAATCTGCAAGTGGATATTTGGATAGCTTTGAGGATTTCGTTGGAAACGGGATGACATATAATATCTAGAGAGAAGCATTCTCAGGAACTTCTTTGTGATGTTTGCATTCAAGTCACAGAATTGAACATTCCCTTTCATAGAGCAGGTTTGAAACACTCTTTCTCTAGTATCTGGAAGTGGGCATTTCAAGCGCTTTCAGGCCTATGGAGAGAAAGGAAATACCTTCAAATAAAAACTAGACAGAAGCATTCTCAGAAACTTATTTGTGATGTGTGTCCTCAACTAACAGAGTTGAACCTTTGTTTTGATACAGCATTTTGGAAACACTCCTTTTGTAGAATCTGCAGGTGGATATTTGGATAGCTTTGAAGATTTTGTTGGAAACCGGAATATCTTCCTATAAAATCAAGACAGAAGCATTCTCGGAAACATCTCTGTGATGTTTGCATTCAACTCAGTAGAGTTGAACACTTCCTTTCATAGAGCAGGTTTGAAACACTCTTTCTGCCCTACCTGGAAGCGGACATTTCGAGCTCTTTGAGGCCTATGGTGAAAAAGGAAATATCTTCTCATAAAAACCAGAAAGAAGCATTCTCAGAAACTTCTTTGTGTTGTGTGTACTCAAGTAACAGTGTTGAACCTTCCTTTTGACAGAGCAGTTTTGAAACACTCTTTTGGTAGAATCTGCAAGTGGATATTTGGATAGCTTTGAGGATTTCGTTGGAAACGGGTTATCTTCCTATAAAATCCAGACAGGAGCATTCTCAGAAACTTCTTTGTGCTGTATGTCCTCAATTCACAGAGCTGAACCTTTGTTTGGATACAGCATTTTGGAGACATTCCTTTAGTAGAATCTGCAAGTTGATATTTAGATAGCTTTGAAGATTTCGTTGGAAACGGGAATATCTTCATAGAAAATCTAGACGGAAGCATTCTCAGAAACTGCTTTGTGATGTTTGCATTCAAGTCACAGAGTTGAATATTCCCTTTTATAGAGTAGGTTTGAAACACTCTTTCGGCACTACCTGGAAGTGGATATTTCGAGCTCTTTGAGGCCTATGGTTAAAAGGAAATATCTTCCCATAAAAACTAGACAGAAGCCGTCTCAGAAACTTGTTTGTGATGTGTGTATTCAACTACCAGAGTTGAACATTTCTGTTACAGAGCAATTTTAAAACACTCTTTCTGTGGAATCTGAAAGTGGATAATTGGATAGCTTTGTGGATTTCGTTGGAAACGGGATGACGTATAAAATCTAGAGAGAAGCATTCTCAGGAACTTCTTTCTGATGTTTGCATTCAAGTCACAGAATTGAACATTCCTTTTCAGAGTGCAGGTTTGAAACACTCTTTCTGTAGTATCTGGAAGTGGACATTTCAAGCGCTTTCAGGCCTACGGGGAGAAAGGAAATATCTTCAAATAAAAACTAGACAGAAGGATTCTCAGAAACTTATTTGTGATGTGTGTCCTAAACGAACACAGTTGAACCTTTGTTTTGATACAGCATTTTGGAAACACTCCTTTTGTAGGATCTGCAGGTGGATATTTGGATAGATTTTAAGATTTCGTTGGAAACGGGAATTTCTGCATAGAAACTCAAGACAGATGCATTCTCAGAAACTTCTCTGTGATGTTTGCATTCCACTCATAGAGTTGAAAACTTCCTTTCATAGAGCAGGTTTGAAACACTCTTTTTGTAATATTTGGAAGTGGACATTTGCAGCGCTTTGAGGCCTATGGTGAAAAAGGAAATATCTTCTCATAAAAACCAGAAACAAGCATTCTCAGAAACTTCTTTTTGATGTGTGTACTCAAGTAACAGAGTTGAACCTTCCTTTTGACACAGCAGTTTTGAAACAATCTTTTTGTAGAATCTGCAAGTGGATATTTGGATAGCTTTGAGGATTTCGTTGGAAACGGGATATCTTCATATAAAATCTAGACAGAAGCATTCTCAGAAACTTCTTTGTGCTGTATGTCCTCAATTAACAGAGTTGAACCATTGCCTGGATACAGCATTTTGGAAACATTCCTTGAGTAGAATCTGCAAGTTGATATTTAGATAGATTTGAAGATTTCGTTGGAAAAGGGAATATCTCCATATAAAATCTAGAGGGAAGCATTCTCAGAAACTGCTTTGTGATGTTTCCATTCAAGTCACAGAGTTGAATATTCCCTTTTATAGAGCACGTTTGAAACACTCTTTCTGCACTATCTGGAAGCGGACATTTCGAGCGCTTTGAGGCCTATGGTGAAAAAGGAAATATCTTCCCATAAAAACTAGACAGAAGCATTCTCAGAAAACTTGTTTGTGATGTGTGTATTCAACTAACAGAGTTGAACTTTTGTTTTTACAGAGCCGTTTTAAAACACTCTTTTTGTGGAATCAGAAAGTGGATATTCGGATGGCTCTGAGGATTTCGTTGGAAGCGGGATTACGTATAAAATCTAGAGAGAAGCATTCTCAGGAACTTCTTTGTGATGTTTGCATTGAAGTCACAGAATTGAACATTCACTTTGATAGAGCAGGTTTGAAACACTCATTCTGTAGTATCTGGAAGTGGACATTTCAAGCGCTTTCAGGCCTATGGTGAGAAAGGAAATATCTTCGAATAAAAACTAGACAGAAGCATCCTCAAACTTATTTGTGATGTGTGTCCTCAACTAACAGAGTTGAAACTTTGTTTTGATACAGCATTTTGGAAACACTCTTTTTGTAGAATCTGCAGGTGGATATTTGGATAGCTTAGAGGGATTCGTTGGAAAGGGGATATCTTCATATAAAATCTAGACAGAAGCATTCTCAGAAACTTATTTGTGATGTGTGTCCTCAACTAACAGAGTTGAACCTTGGTTTTGATACAGCATTTTGGAAACACTCCTTTTGTAGAATCTGCAGGTGGATATGTGGATAGCTCTGAAGATTTCGTTGGAAACGGGAATTTCTTCATATAAAATCAAACAGAAGCATTCTCAGAAACTTCTCAGTGATGTTTGCATTCAGCTCATGGAGTTGTACACTTCCTTTCATAGAGCAGGTTTGAAACACTCTTTCTGCACTACCTGGAAGAGGACATTTCGAGCGCTTTGAGTCCTATGGTGAAAAAGGAAATATCTTCTCATAGAAACCAGAAAGAAGCATTCTCAGAAACTTCTTTGTGTTGTGTGTACTCATGTAACAGTGTTGAACCATCCTTTTGACAGAGCAGTTTTGAAACACTCTTTTTGTAGAATCTGCAAGTGGATATTTGGATAGCTTTGAGGATTTCGTTGGAAACGGGATGACATATAATATCTAGAGAGAAGCATTCTCAGGAACTTCTTTGTGATGTTTGCATTCAAGTCACAGAATTGAACATTCCCTTTCATAGAGCAGGTTTGAAACACTCTTTCTCTAGTATCTGGAAGTGGGCATTTCAAGCGCTTTCAGGCCTATGGAGAGAAAGGAAATACCTTCAAATAAAAACTAGACAGAAGCATTCTCAGAAACTTATTTGTGATGTGTGTCCTCAACTAACAGAGTTGAACCTTTGTTTTGATACAGCATTTTGGAAACACTCCTTTTGTAGAATCTGCAGGTGGATATTTGGATAGCTTTGAAGATTTCGTTGGAAACCGGAATATCTTCATATAAAATCAAGACAGAAGCATTCTCGGAAACATCTCTGTGATGTTTGCATTCAACTCAGTAGAGTTGAACACTTCCTTTCATAGAGCAGGTTTGAAACACTCTTTCTGCACTACCTGGAAGTGGACATTTCGAGCGCTTTGAGGCCTATGGTGAAAAAGGAAATATCTTCTCATAAAAACCAGAAAGAAGCATTCTCAGAAACTTCTTTGTGTTGTGTGTACTCAAGTAACAGTGTTGAACCTTCCTTTTGACAGAGCAGTTTTGAAACACTCTTTTGGTAGAATCTGCAAGTGGATATTTGGATAGCTTTGAGGATTTCATTGGAAACGGGTTATCTTCATATAAAATCCAGACAGGAGCATTCTCAGAAACTTCTTTGTGCTGTATGTCCTCAATTCACAGAGCTGAACCTTTGTTTGGATACAGCATTTTGGAGACATTCCTTTAGTAGAATCTGCAAGTTGATATTTAGATAGCTTTGAAGATTTCGTTGGAAACGGGAATATCTTCATAGAAAATCTAGACGGAAGCATTCTCAGAAACTGCTTTGTGATGTTTGCATTCAAGTCACAGAGTTGAATATTCCCTTTTATAGAGTAGGTTTGAAACACTCTTTCGGCACTACCTGGAAGTGGATATTTCGAGCTCTTTGAGGCCTATGGTTAAAAGGAAATATCTTCCCATAAAAACTAGACAGAAGCCGTCTCAGAAACTTGTTTGTGATGTGTGTATTCAACTAACAGAGTTGAACATTTCTGTTACAGAGCAATTTTAAAACACTCTTTTTGTGGAATCTGAAAGTGGATAATTGGATAGCTTTGTGGATTTCGTTGGAAACGGGATGACGTATAAAATACTAGAGAGAAGCATTCTCAGGAACTTCTTTCTGATGTTTGTATTCAAGTCACAGAATTGAACATTCCTTTTCATAGTGCAGGTTTGAAACACTCTTTCTGCAGTATCTGGAAGTGGACATTTCAAGCGCTTTCAGGCCTATGGGGAGAAAGGAAATATCTTCAAATTAAAAACTAGACAGAAGGGTTCTCAGAAACTTATTTGTGATGTGTGTCCTAAACGAACACAGTTGAACCTTTGTTTTGATACAGCATTTTGGAAACACTCCTTTTGTAGGATCTGCAGGTGGATATTTGGATAGATTTTAAGATTTCGTTGGAAACGGGAATTTCTGCATAGAAACTCAAGACAGATGCATTCTCAGAAACTTCTCTGTGATGTTTGCATTCCACTCATAGAGTTGAAAACTTCCTTTCATAGAGCAGGTTTGAAACACTCTTTTTGTAATATGTGGAAGTGGACATTTGCAGCGCTTTGAGGCCTATGGTGAAAAAGGAAATATCTTCTCATAAAAACCAGAAACAAGCATTCTCAGAAACTTCTTTTTGATGTGTGTACTCAAGTAACAGAGTTGAACCTTCCTTTTGACACAGCAGTTTTGAAACAATCTTTTTGTAGAATCTGCAAGTGGATATTTGGATAGCTTTGAGGATTTCGTTGGAAACGGGATATCTTCATATAAAATCTAGACAGAAGCATTCTCAGAAACTTCTTTGTGCTGTATGACCTCAATTAACAGAGTTGAACCATTGCTTGCATACAGCATTTTGGAAACATTCCTTGAGTAGAATCTGCAAGTTGATATTTAGATAGATTTGAAGATTTCGTTCGAAAACGGAATATCTCCATATAAATCTAGAGGGAGGCATTCTCAGAAACTGCTTTGTGATGTTTCCATTCAAGTCACAGAGTTGAATATTCTCTTTTATAGAGCACGTTTGAAACACTCTTTCTGCACTATCTGGAAGTGGACATTTCGAGTGCTTTGAGGCCTATGGTGAAAAAGGAAATATCTTCCCATAAAAACTAGACAGAAGCATTCTCAGAAACTTGTTTGTGATGTGTGTATTCAACTAACAGACTTGAACTTTTGTTTTTACAGAGCAGTTTTAAGACAATCCTTTTGTGGAATCAGAAAGTGGATATTCGGATGGCTTTGAGGACTTCGTTGGAAGCGGGATTACATATAAAATCTAGAGAGAAGCATTCTCAGGAACTTCTTTGTGATGTTTGCATTGAAGTCACAGAATTGAACATTCACTTTGATAGAGCAGGTTTGAAACACTCATTCTGTAGTATCTGGAAGTGGACATTTCAAGCGCTTTCAGGCCTATGGTGAGAAAGGAAATATCTTCGAATAAAAACTAGACAGAAGCATCCTCAAACTTATTTGTGATGTGTGTCCTCAACTAACAGAGTTGAAACTTTGTTTTGATACAGCATTTTGGAAACACTCTTTTTGTAGAATCTGCAGGTGGATATTTGGATAGCTTAGAGGGATTCGTTGGAAAGGGGATATCTTCATATAGAATCTAGACAGAAGCATTCTCAGAATCTTATTTGTGATGTGTGTCCTCAACTAACAGAGTTGAACTTTGGTTTTGATACAGCATTTTGGAAACACTCCTTTTGTAGAATCTGCAGGTGGATATGTGGATAGCTCTGAAGATTTCGTTGGAAACGGGAATTTCTTCATATAAAATCAAACAGAAGCATTCTCAGAAACTTCTCAGTGATGTTTGCATTCAGTTCATGGAGTTGAACACTTCCTTTCATAGAGCCGGTTTGAAACACTCTTTCTGCACTACCTGGAAGAGGACATTTCGAGCGCTTTGAGTCCTATGGTGAAAAAGGAAATATCTTCTCATAGAAACCAGAAAGAAGCATTCTCAGAAACTTCTTTGTGTTGTGTGTACTCATGTAACAGTGTTGAACCATCCTTTTGACAGAGCAGTTTTGAAACACTCTTTTTGTAGAATCTGCAAGTGGATATTTGGATAGCTTTGAGGATTTCGTTGGAAACGGGATGACATATATTATCTAGAGAGAAGCATTCTCAGGAACTTGCTTTGTGATGTTTGCATTCAAGTCACAGAATTGAACATTCCCTTTCATAGAGCAGGTTTGAAACACTCTTTCTCTAGTATCTGGAAGTGGGCATTTCAAGCGCTTTCAGGCCTATGGAGAGAAAGGAAATACCTTCAAATAAAAACTAGACAGAAGCATTCTCAGAAACTTATTTGTGATGTGTGTCCTCAACTAACAGAGTTGAACCTTTGTTTTGATACAGCATTTTGGAAACACTCCTTTTGTAGAATCTGCAGGTGGATATTTGGATAGCTTTGAAGATTTCGTTGGAAACCGGAATATCTTCATATAAAATCAAGACAGAAGCATTCTCGGAAACATCTCTGTGATGTTTGCATTCAACTCAGTAGAGTTGAACACTTCCTTTCATAGAGCAGGTTTGAAACACTCTTTCTGCACTACCTGGAAGCGGACATTTCGAGCGCTTTGAGGCCTATGGTGAAAAAGGAAATATCTTCTCATAAAAACCAGAAAGAAGCATTCTCAGAAACTTCTTTGTGTTGTGTGTACTCAAGTAACAGTGTTGAACCTTCCTTTTGACAGAGTAGTTTTGAAACACTCTTTTGGTAGAATCTGCAAGTGGATATTTGGATAGCTTTGAGGATTTCGTTGGAAACGGGTTATCTTCCTATAAAATCCAGACAGGAGCATTCTCAGAAACTTCTTTGTGCTGTATGTCCTCATTTCACAGAGCTGAACCTTTGTTTGGATACAGCATTTTGGAGACATTCCTTTAGTAGAATCTGCAAGTTGATATTTAGATAGCTTTGAAGATTTCGTTGGAAACGGGAATATCTTCATAGAAAATCTAGACGGAAGCATTCTCAGAAACTGCTTTGTGATGTTTGCATTCAAGTCACAGAGTTGAATATTCCCTTTTATAGAGTAGGTTTGAAACACTCTTTCGGCACTACCTGGAAGTGGATATTTCGAGCTCTTTGAGGCCTATGGTTAAAAGGAAATATCTTCCCATAAAAACTAGACAGAAGCCGTCTCAGAAACTTGTTTGTGATGTGTGTATTCAACTAACAGAGTTGAACATTTCTGTTACAGAGCAATTTTAAAACACTCTTTGTGGAATCTGAAAGTGGATAATTGGATAGCTTTGTGGATTTCGTTGGAAACGGGATGACGTATAAAATCTAGAGAGAAGTATTCTCAGGAACTTCTTTCTGATGTTTGCATTCAAGTCACAGAATTGAACATTCCTTTTCAGAGTGCAGGTTTGAAACACTCTTTCTGTAGTATCTGGAAGTGGACATTTCAAGCGCTTTCAGGCCTACGGGGAGAAAGGAAATATCTTCAAATAAAAACTAGACAGAAGGATTCTCAGAAACTTATTTGTGATGTGTGTCCTAAACGAACACAGTTGAACCTTTGTTTTGATACAGCATTTTGGAAACACTCCTTTTGTAGGATCTGCAGGTGGATATTTGGATAGATTTTAAGATTTCGTTGGAAACGGGAATTTCTTCATAGAAGCTCAAGACAGATGCATTCTCAGAAACTTCTCTGTGATGTTTGCATTCCACTCATAGAGTTGAAAACTTCCTTTCATAGAGCAGGTTTGAAACACTCTTTTTGTAATATTTGGAAGTGGACATTTGCAGCGCTTTGAGGCCTATGGTGAAAAAGGAAATATCTTCTCATAAAAACCAGAAACAAGCATTCTCAGAAACTTCTTTTTGATGTGTGTACTCAAGTAACAGAGTTGAACCTTCCTTTTGACACAGCAGTTTTGAAACAATCTTTTTGTAGAATCTGCAAGTGGATATTTGGATAGCTTTGAGGATTTCGTTGGAAACGGGATATCTTCATATAAAATCTAGACAGAAGCATTCTCAGAAACTTCTTTGTGCTGTATGTCCTCAATTAACAGAGTTGAACCATTGCTTGGATACAGCATTTTGGAAACATTCCTTGAGTAGAATCTGCAAGTTGATATTTAGATAGATTTGAAGATTTCGTTGGAAAAGGGAATATCTCCATATAAAATCTAGAGGGAAGCATTCTCAGAAACTGCTTTGTGATGTTTCCATTCAAGTCACAGAGTTGAATATTCCCTTTTATAGAGCACGTTTGAAACACTCTTTCTGCACTATCTGGAAGTGGACATTTCGAGCGCTTTGAGGCCTATGGTGAAAAAGGAAATATCTTCCCATAAAAACTAGACAGAAGCATTCTCAGAAACTTGTTTGTGATGTGTGTATTCAACTAACAGAGTTGAACTTTTGTTTTTACAGAGCCGTTTTAAAACACTCTTTTTGTGGAATCAGAAAGTGGATATTCGGATGGCTCTGAGGATTTCGTTGGAAGCGGGATTACGTATAAAATCTAGAGAGAAGCATTCTCAGGAACTTCTTTGTGATGTTTGCATTGAAGTCACAGAATTGAACATTCACTTTGATAGAGCAGGTTTGAAACACTCATTCTGTAGTATCTGGAAGTGGACATTTCAAGCGCTTTCAGGCCTATGGTGAGAAAGGAAATATCTTCGAATAAAAACTAGACAGAAGCATCCTCAAACTTATTTGTGATGTGTGTCCTCAACTAACAGAGTTGAAACTTTGTTTTGATACAGCATTTTGGAAACACTCTTTTTGTAGAATCTGCAGGTGGATATTTGGATAGCTTAGAGGGATTCGTTGGAAAGGGGATATCTTCATATAAAATCTAGACAGAAGCATTCTCAGAAACTTATTTGTGATGTGTGTCCTCAACTAACAGAGTTGAACCTTGGTTTTGATACAGCATTTTGGAAACACTCCTTTTGTAGAATCTGCAGGTGGATATGTGGATAGCTCTGAAGATTTCGTTGGAAACGGGAATTTCTTCATATAAAATCAAACAGAAGCATTCTCAGAAACTTCTCAGTGATGTTTGCATTCAGCTCATGGAGTTGAACACTTCCTTTCATAGAGCAGGTTTGAAACACTCTTTCTGCACTACCTGGAAGAGGACATTTCGAGCGCTTTGAGTCCTATGGTGAAAAAGGAAATATCTTCTCATAGAAACCAGAAAGAAGCATTCTCAGAAACTTCTTTGTGTTGTGTGTACTCATGTAACAGTGTTGAACCATCCTTTTGACAGAGGAGTTTTGAAACACTCTTTTTGTAGAATCTGCAAGTGGATATTTGGATAGCTTTGAGGATTTCGTTGGAAACGGGATGACATATAATATCTAGAGAGAAGCATTCTCAGGAACTTCTTTGTGATGTTTGCATTCAAGTCACAGAATTGAACATTCCCTTTCATAGAGCAGGTTTGAAACACTCTTTCTCTAGTATCTGGAAGTGGGCATTTCAAGCGCTTTCAGGCCTATGGAGAGAAAGGAAATACCTTCAAATAAAAACTAGACAGAAGCATTCTCAGAAACTTATTTGTGATGTGTGTCCTCAACTAACAGAGTTGAACCTTTGTTTTGATACAGCATTTTGGAAACACTCCTTTTGTAGAATCTGCAGGTGGATATGTGGATAGCTTTGAAGATTTCGTTGGAAACCGGAATATCTTCCTATAAAATCAAGACAGAAGCATTCTCGGAAACATCTCTGTGATGTTTGCATTCAACTCAGTAGAGTTGAACACTTCCTTTCATAGAGCAGGTTTGAAACACTCTTTCTGCACTACCTGGAAGCGGACATTTTGAGCGCTTTGAGGCCTATGGTGAAAAAGGAAATATCTTCTCATAAAAACCAGAAAGAAGCATTCTCAGAAACTTCTTTGTGTTGTGTGTACTCAAGTAACAGTGTTGAACCTTCCTTTTGACAGAGCAGTTTTGAAACACTCTTTTGGTAGAATCTGCAAGTGGATATTTGGATAGCTTTGAGGATTTCGTTGGAAACGGGTTATCTTCATATAAAATCAAGACAGGAGCATTCTCAGAAACTTCTTTGTGCTGTATGTCCTCAATTCACAGAGCTGAACCTTTGTTTGGATACAGCATTTTGGAAACATTCCTTTAGTAGAATCTGCAAGTTGATATTTAGATAGCTTTGAAGATTTCGTTGGAAACGGGAATATCTTCATAGAAAATCTAGACGGAAGCATTCTCAGAAACTGCTTTGTGACGTTTGCATTCAAGTCACAGAGTTGAATATTCCCTTTTATAGAGTAGGTTTGAAACACTCTTTCGGCACTACCTGGAAGTGGATATTTCGAGCTCTTTGAGGCCTATGGTTAAAAGGAAATATCTTCCCATAAAAACTAGACAGAAGCCGTCTCAGAAACTTGTTTGTGATGTGTGTATTCAACTAACAGAGTTGAACATTTGTGTTACAGAGCAATTTTAAAACACTCTTTTTGTGGAATCTGAAAGTGGATAATTGGATAGCTTTGTGGATTTCGTTGGAAACGGGATGACGTATAAAATCTAGAGAGAAGCATTCTCAGGAACTTCTTTCTGATGTTTGCATTCAAGTCACAGAATTGAACATTCCTTTTCATAGTGCAGGTTTGAAACACTCTTTCTGTAGTATCTGGAAGTGGACATTTCAAGCGCTTTCAGGCCTACGGGGAGAAAGGAAATATCTTCAAATAAAAACTAGACAGAAGGATTCTCAGAAACTTATTTGTGATGTGTGTCCTAAACGAACACAGTTGAACCTTTGTTTTGATACAGCATTTTGGAAACACTCCTTTTGTAGGATCTGCAGGTGGATATTTGGATAGATTTTAAGATTTCGTTGGAAATGGGAATTTCTGCATATAAACTCAAGACAGATGCATTCTCAGAAACTTCTCTGTGATGTTTGCATTCCACTCATAGAGTTGAAAACTTCCTTTCATAGAGCAGGTTTGAAACACTCTTTTTGTAATATTTGGAAGTGGACATTTGCAGCGCTTTGAGGCCTATGGTGAAAAAGGAAATATCTTCTCATAAAAACCAGAAACAAGCATTCTCAGAAACTTCTTTTTGATGTGTGTACTCAAGTAACAGAGTTGAACCTTCCTTTTGACACAGCAGTTTTGAAACAATCTTTTTGTAGAATCTGCAAGTGGATATTTGGATAGCTTTGAGGATTTCGTTGGAAACGGGATATCTTCATATAAAATCTAGACAGAAGCATTCTCAGAAACTTCTTTGTGCTGTATGTCCTCAATTAACAGAGTTGAACCATTGCCTGGATACAGCATTTTGGAAACATTCCTTGAGTAGAATCTGCAAGTTGATATTTAGATAGATTTGAAGATTTCGTTGGAAAAGGGAATATCTCCATATAAAATCTAGAGGGAAGCATTCTCAGAAACTGCTTTGTGATGTTTCCATTCAAGTCACAGAGTTGAATATTCTCTTTTATAGAGCACGTTTGAAACACTCTTTCTGCACTATCTGGAAGCGGACATTTCGAGCGCTTTGAGGCCTATGGTGAAAAAGGAAATATCTTCCCATAAAAACTAGACAGAAGCATTCTCAGAAACTTGTTTGTGATGTGTGTATTCAACTAACAGAGTTGAACTTTTGTTTTTACAGAGCCGTTTTAAAACACTCTTTTTGTGGAATCAGAAAGTGGATATTCGGATGGCTCTGAGGATTTCGTTGGAAGCGGGATTACGTATAAAATCTAGAGAGAAGCATTCTCAGGAACTTCTTTGTGATGTTTGCATTGAAGTCACAGAATTGAACATTCACTTTGATAGAGCAGGTTTGAAACACTCATTCTGTAGTATCTGGAAGTGGACATTTCAAGCGCTTTCAGGCCTATGGTGAGAAAGGAAATATCTTCGAATAAAAACTAGACAGAAGCATCCTCAAACTTATTTGTGATGTGTGTCCTCAACTAACAGAGTTGAAACTTTGTTTTGATACAGCATTTTGGAAACACTCTTTTTGTAGAATCTGCAGGTGGATATTTGGATAGCTTAGAGGGATTCGTTGGAAAGGGGATATCTTCATATAAAATCTAGACAGAAGCATTCTCAGAAACTTATTTGTGATGTGTGTCCTCAACTAACAGAGTTGAACCTTGGTTTTGATACAGCATTTTGGAAACACTCCTTTTGTAGAATCTGCAGGTGGATATGTGGATAGCTCTGAAGATTTCGTTGGAAACGGGAATTTCTTCATATAAAATCAAACAGAAGCATTCTCAGAAACTTCTCAGTGATGTTTGCATTCAGCTCATGGAGTTGTACACTTCCTTTCATAGAGCAGGTTTGAAACACTCTTTCTGCACTACCTGGAAGAGGACATTTCGAGCGCTTTGAGTCCTATGGTGAAAAAGGAAATATCTTCTCATAGAAACCAGAAAGAAGCATTCTCAGAAACTTCTTTGTGTTGTGTGTACTCATGTAACAGTGTTGAACCATCCTTTTGACAGAGGAGTTTTGAAACACTCTTTTTGTAGAATCTGCAAGTGGATATTTGGATAGCTTTGAGGATTTCGTTGGAAACGGGATGACATATAATATCTAGAGAGAAGCATTCTCAGGAACTTCTTTGTGATGTTTGCATTCAAGTCACAGAATTGAACATTCCCTTTCATAGAGCAGGTTTGAAACACTCTTTCTCTAGTATCTGGAAGTGGGCATTTCAAGCGCTTTCAGGCCTATGGAGAGAAAGGAAATACCTTCAAATAAAAACTAGACAGAAGCATTCTCAGAAACTTATTTGTGATGTGTGTCCTCAACTAACAGAGTTGAACCTTTGTTTTGATACAGCATTTTGGAAACACTCCTTTTGTAGAATCTGCAGGTGGATATTTGGATAGCTTTGAAGATTTCGTTGGAAACCGGAATATCTTCATATAAAATCAAGACAGAAGCATTCTCGGAAACATCTCTGTGATGTTTGCATTCAACTCAGTAGAGTTGAACACTTCCTTTCATAGAGCAGGTTTGAAACACTCTTTCTGCACTACCTGGAAGCGGACATTTCGAGCGCTTTGAGGCCTATGGTGAAAAAGGAAATATCTTCTCATAAAAACCAGAAAGAAGCATTCTCAGAAACTTCTTTGTGTTGTGTGTACTCAAGTAACAGTGTTGAACCTTCCTTTTGACAGAGTAGTTTTGAAACACTCTTTTGGTAGAATCTGCAAGTGGATATTTGGATAGCTTTGAGGATTTCGTTGGAAACGGGTTATCTTCCTATAAAATCCAGACAGGAGCATTCTCAGAAACTTCTTTGTGCTGTATGTCCTCAATTCACAGAGCTGAACCTTTGTTTGGATACAGCATTTTGGAGACATTCCTTTAGTAGAATCTGCAAGTTGATATTTAGATAGCTTTGAAGATTTCGTTGGAAACGGGAATATCTTCATAGAAAATCTAGACGGAAGCATTCTCAGAAACTGCTTTGTGATGTTTGCATTCAAGTCACAGAGTTGAATATTCCCTTTTATAGAGTAGGTTTGAAACACTCTTTCGGCACTACCTGGAAGTGGATATTTCGAGCTCTTTGAGGCCTATGGTTAAAAGGAAATATCTTCCCATAAAAACTAGACAGAAGCCGTCTCAGAAACTTGTTTGTGATGTGTGTATTCAACTAACAGAGTTGAACATTTCTGTTACAGAGCAATTTTAAAACACTCTTTGTGGAATCTGAAAGTGGATAATTGGATAGCTTTGTGGATTTCATTGGAAACGGGATGACGTATAAAATCTAGAGAGAAGCATTCTCAGGAACTTCTTTCTGATGTTTGCATTCAAGTCACAGAATTGAACATTCCTTTTCATAGTGCAGGTTTGAAACACTCTTTCTGTAGTATCTGGAAGTGGACATTTCAAGCGCTTTCAGGCCTTATGGGGAGAAAGGAAATATCTTCAAATAAAAACTAGACAGAAGGATTCTCAGAAACTTATTTGTGATGTGTGTCCTAAACGAACACAGTTGAACCTTTGTTTTGATACAGCATTTTGGAAACACTCCTTTTGTAGAATCTGCAGGTGGATATTTGGATAGATTTTAAGATTTCATTGGAAACGGGAATTTCTTCATATAAACTCAAGACAGATGCATTCTCAGAAACTTCTCTGTGATGTTTGCATTCCACTCATAGAGTTGAAAACTTCCTTTCATAGAGCAGGTTTGAAACACTCTTTTTGTAATATTTGGAACTGGACATTTGCAGCGCTTTGAGGCCTATGGTGAAAAAGGAAATATCTTCTCATAAAAACCAGAAACAAGCATTCTCAGAAACTGCTTTTTGATGTGTGTACTCAAGTAACAGAGTTGAACCTTCCTTTTGACACAGCAGTTTTGAAACAATCTTTTTGTAGAATCTGCAAGTGGATATTTGGATAGCTTTGAGGATTTCGTTGGAAACGGGATATCTTCATATAAAACCTAGACAGAAGCATTCTCAGAAACTTCTTTGTGCTGTATGTCCTCAATTAACAGAGTTGAACCATTGCTTGGACACAGCATTTT
Organism: Homo sapiens; assembly: GCF_000001405.40. Lineage (NCBI taxonomy): Eukaryota > Metazoa > Chordata > Mammalia > Primates > Hominidae > Homo > Homo sapiens. The sequence continues at coordinate 50,374,253 of NC_000004.12, forward strand.
GGAAACATTCCTTTAGTAGAATCTGCAAGTTGATATTTAGATAGATTTGAAGATTTCGTTGGAAACGGGAATATCTTCATATAAAATCTAGACGGAGGCATTCTCAGAAACGGCTTTGTGATGTTTCCATTCAAGTCACAGAGTTGAATATTCTCTTTTATAGAGCACGTTTGAAACACTCTTTCTGCACTATCTGGAAGTGGACATTTCGAGCGCTTTGAGGCCTATGGTGAAAAAGGAAATATCTTCCCATAAAAACTAGACAGAAGCATTCTCAGAAACTTGTTTGTGATGTGTGTATTCAACTAACAGACTTGAACTTTTGTTTTTACAGAGCAGTTTTAAAACAATCTTTTTGTGGAATCAGAAAGTGGATATTCGGATGGCTTTGAGGATTTCGTTGGAAGCGTGATTACATATAAAATCTAGAGAGAAGCATTCTCAGGAACTACTTTGTGATGTTTGCATTGAAGTCACAGAATTGAACATTCACTTTGATAGAGCAGGTTTGAAACACTCATTCTGTAGTATCTGGAAGTGGACATTTCAAGTGCTTTCAGGCCTATGGGGAGAAAGGAAATATCTTCAAATTAAAACTAGACAGAAGCATCCTCAGAAACTTATTTGTGATGTGTGTCCTCAACTAACAGAGTTGAAACTTTGTTTTGATACAGCATTTTGGAAACACTCTTTTTGTAGAATCTGCAGGTGGATACTTGGATAGCTTAGAGGGATTCGTTGGAAAGGGGATAAATTCATATAAAATCTAGACAGAAGCATTCTCAGAAACTTATTTGTGATGTGTGTCCTCAACTAACAGAGTTGAACCTTGGTTTTGATACAGCATTTTGGAAACACTCCTTTTGAAGAATCTGCAGGTGGATATGTGGATAGCTTTGAAGATTTCGTTGGAAACGGGAATTTCTTCATATAAAATCAAACAGAAGCATTCTCAGGAACTTCTCTGTGATGTTTGCATTCAGCTCATGGAGTTGAACACTTCCTTTCATAGAGCAGGTTTGAAACACTCTTTCTGCACTACCTGGAAGTGGACATTTCGAGCGCTTTGAGGCCTATGGTGAAAAAGGAAATATCCTCTCATAAAAACCAGAAAGAAGCGTTCTCAGAAACTTCTTTGTGTTGTGTGTACTCATGTAACAGTGTTGAACCATCCTTTTGACAGAGCAGTTTTGAAACACTCTTTTTGTAGAATCTGCCAGTGGATATTTGGATAGCTTTGAGGATTTCGTTGGAAACGGGTTATCTTCATATTAAATCTAGACAGAAGCATTCTCAGAAACTTCTTTGTGCTGTATGTCCTCAATTCACAGAGTTGAACCTTTGTTTGGATACAGCATTTTGGAAACATTCCTTTAGTAGAATCTGCAAGTTGATATTTAGATAGCTTTGAAGATTTCGTTGGAAACGGGAATATCTTCATAAAAAATCTAGACGGAAGCATTGTCAGAAACTGCTCTGTGATGTTTCCATTCAAGTCACAGAGTTAAATATTCTTTTACAGAGCAGGTTTGAAACACTCTTTCTGCACTCCCTGGAAGTGGAGATTTCGAGCGCTTTGAGGCCTATGGTGAAAAAGGAAATATCTTCCCGTAAAAACTAGACGGAAGCCTTCTCAGAAACTTGTTTGAGATGTGTGTATTCAACTAAGAGCGTTGAACATTTCTTTTTACAGAGCAGTTTTAAAACAGTCTTTTGGTGGAATCTGAAAGTGGATAATTGGATAGCTTTGTGGATTTCGTTGGAAACGGGATTACGTTTAAAATCTAGAGAGAAGCATTCTCAGGAACTTCTTTCTGATGTTTGCATTCAAGTCACAGAATTGAACATTCCTTTTCATAGTGCAGGTTTGAAACACTCTGTAGTATCTGGAAGTGGACATTTCAAGCGCTTTCAGGCCTATGGGGAGAAAGGAAATATCTTGAAATAAAAACTAGACAGAAGGATTCTCAGAAACTTATTTGTGATGTGTGTCCTAAACGAACACAGTTGAACCTTTGTTTTGATACAGCATTTTGGAAACACTCCTTTTGTAGAATCTGCAGGTGGATATTTGGATAGATTTTAAGATTTCATTGGAAACGGGAATTTCTTCATATAAACTCAAGACAGATGCATTCTCAGAAACTTCTCTGTGATGTTTGCATTCCACTCACAGAGTTGAAAACTTCCTTTCATAGAGCAGGTTTGAAACACTCTTTTTGTAATATTTGGAAGTGGACATTTGCAGCGCTTTGAGGCCTATGGTGAAAAAGGAAATATCTTCTCATAAAAACCAGAAACAAGCATTCTCAGAAACTGCTTTTTGATGTGTGTACTCAAGTAACAGAGTTGAACCTTCCTTTTGACACAGCAGTTTTGAAACAATCTTTTTGTAGAATCTGCAAGTGGATATTTGGATAGCTTTGAGGATTTCGTTGCAAACGGGATATCTTCATATAAAATCTAGACAGAAGCATTCTCAGAAACTTCTTTGTGCTGTATGTCCTCAATTAACAGAGTTGAACCATTGCTTGGATACAGCATTTTGGAAACATTCCTTTAGTAGAATCTGCAAGTTGATATTTAGATAGCATTGAAGATTTCGTTGGAAACGGGAATATCTTCATATAAAATTCTAGACGGAGGCATTCTCAGAAACTGCTTTGTGATGTTTCCATTCAAGTCACAGAGTTGAATATTCTCTTTTATAGAGCACGTTTGAAACACTCTTTCTGCACTATCTGGAAGTGGACATTTCGAGCGCTTTGAGGCCTATGGTGAAAAAGGAAATATCTTCCCATAAAAACTAGACAGAAGCATTCTCAGAAACTTGTTTGTGATGTGTGTATTCAACTAACAGACTTGAACTTTTGTTTTTACAGAGCAGTTTTAAAACAATCTTTTTGTGGAATCAGAAAGTGGATATTCGGATGGCTTTGAGGATTTCGTTGGAAGCGTGATTACATATAAAATCTAGAGAGAAGCATTCTCAGGAACTACTTTGTGATGTTTGCATTGAAGTCACAGAATTGAACATTCACTATGATAGAGCAGGTTTGAAACACTCATGCTGTAGTATCTGGAAGTGGACATTTCAAGCGCTTTCAGGCCTATGGTGAGAAAGGAAATATCTTCAAATAAAAACTAGACAGAAGCATCCTCAGAAACTTATTTGTGATGTGTGTCCTCAACTAACAGAGTGGAAACTTTGTTTTGATACAGCATTTTGGAAACACTCTTTTTGTAGAATCTGCAGGTGGATATTTGGATAGCTTAGAGGGATTCGTTGGAAAGGGGATATCTTCATATAAAATCTAGACAGAAGCATTCTCAGAAACTTATTTGTGATGTGTGTCCTCAACTAACAGAGTTGAACCTTGGTTTTGATACAGCATTTTGGAAACACTCCTTTTGAAGAATCTGCAGGTGGATATGTGGATAGCTTTGAAGATTTCGTTGGAAACGGGAATTTCTTCATATAAAATCAAACAGAAGCATTCTCAGGAACTTCTCTGTGATGTTTGCATTCAGCTCATGGAGTTGAACACTTCCTTTCATAGAGCAGGTTTGAAACACTCTTTCTGCACTACCTGGAAGTGGACATTTCGAGCGCTTTGAGGCCTATGGTGAAAAAGGAAATATCCTCTCATAAAAACCAGAAAGAAGCGTTCTCAGAAACTTCTTTGTGTTGTGTGTACTCATGTAACAGTGTTGAACCATCCTTTTGACAGAGCAGTTTTGAAACACTCTTTTTGTAGAATCTGCCAGTGGATATTTGGATAGCTTTGAGGATTTCGTTGGAAACGGGTTATCTTCATATTAAATCTAGACAGAAGCATTCTCAGAAACTTCTTTGTGCTGTATGTCCTCAATTCACAGAGTTGAACCTTTGTTTGGATACAGCATTTTGGAAACATTCCTTTAGTAGAATCTGCAAGTTGATATTGAGATAGCTTTGAAGATTTCGTTGGAAACGGGAATATCTTCATAAAAAATCTAGACGGAAGCATTGTCAGAAACTGCTCTGTGATGTTTGCATTCAAGTCACAGAGTTAAATATTCTTTTATAGAGCAGGTTTGAAACACTCTTTCTGCACTCCCTGGAAGTGGAGATTTCGAGCGCTTTGAGGCCTATGGTGAAAAAGGAAATATCTTCCTGTAAAAACTAGACGGAAAGCCTTCTCAGTAAACTTGTTTGAGATGTGTGTATTCAACTAAGAGCGTTGAACATTTCTTTTTACAGAGCAGTTTTAAAACACTCTTTTGGTGCAATCTGAAAGTGGATAATTGGATAGCTTTGTGGATTTCGTTGGAAACGGGATTACGTTTAAAATCTAGAGAGAAGCATTCTCAGGAACTTCTTTCTGATGTTTGCATTCAAGTCACAGAATTGAACATTCCTTTTCATAGTGCAGGTTTGAAACACTCTGTAGTATCTGGAAGTGGACATTTCAAGCGCTTTCAAGCCTATGGGGAGAAAGGAAATATCTTGAAATAAAAACTAGACAGAAGGATTCTCAGAAACTTATTTGTGATGTGTGTCCTAAACGAACACAGTTGAACCTTTGTTTTGATACAGCATTTTGGAAACACTCCTTTTGTAGAATCTGCCGGTGGATATTTGGATAGATTTTAAGATTTCATTGGAAACGGGAATTTCTTCATATAAACTCAAGACAGATGCATTCTCAGAAACTTCTCTGTGATGTTTGCATTCCACTCATAGAGTTGGAAACTTCCTTTCATAGAGCAGGTTTGAAACACTCTTTTTGTAATATTTGGAAGTGGACATTTGCAGCGCTTTGAGGCCTATGGTGAAAAAGGAAATATCTTCTCATAAAAACCAGAAACAAGCATTCTCAGAAACTTCTTTTTGATGTGTGTACTCAAGTAACAGAGTTGAACCTTCCTTTTGACACAGCAGTTTTGAAACAATCTTTTTGTAGAATCTGCAAGTGGATATTTGGATAGCTTTGAGGATTTCGTTGGAAACGGGATATCTTCATATAAAATCTAGACAGAAGCATTCTCAGAAACTTCTTTGTGCTGTATGACCTCAATTAACAGAGTTGAACCATTGCTTGCATACAGCATTTTGGAAACATTCCTTGAGTAGAATCTGCAAGTTGATATTTAGATAGATTTGAAGATTTCGTTCGAAAACGGAATATCTCCATATAAAATCTAGAGGGAAGCATTCTCAGAAACTGCTTTGTGATGTTTCCATTCAAGTCACAGAGTTGAATATTCCCTTTTATAGAGCACGTTTGAAACACTCTTTCTGCGCTATCTGGAAGTGGACATTTCGAGCGCTTTGAGGCCTATGGTGAAAAAGGAAATATCTTCCCATAAAAACTAGACAGAAGCATTCTCAGAAACTTGTTTGTGATGTGTGTATTCAACTAACAGAGTTGAACTTTTGTTTTTACAGAGCCGTTTTAAAACACTCTTTTTGTGGAATCAGAAAGTGGATATTCGGATGGCTCTGAGGATTTCGTTGGAAGCGGGATTACATATAAAATCTAGAGAGAAGCATTCTCAGGAACTTCTTTGTGATGTTTGCATTGAAGTCACAGAATTGAACATTCACTTTGATAGAGCAGGTTTGAAACACTCATTCTGTAGTATCTGGAAGTGGACATTTCAAGCGCTTTCAGGCCTATGGTGAGAAAGGAAATATCTTCGAATAAAAACTAGACAGAAGCATCCTCAAACTTATTTGTGATGTGTGTCCTCAACTAACAGAGTTGAAACTTTGTTTTGATACAGCATTTTGGAAACACTCTTTTTGTAGAATCTGCAGGTGGATATTTGGATAGCTTAGAGGGATTCGTTGGAAAGGGGATATCTTCATATAGAATCTAGACAGAAGCATTCTCAGAAACTTATTTGTGATGTGTGTCCTCAACTAACAGAGTTGAACTTTGGTTTTGATACAGCATTTTGGAAACACTCCTTTTGTAGAATCTGCAGGTGGATATGTGGATAGCTCTGAAGATTTCGTTGGAAACGGGAATTTCTTCATATAAAATCAAACAGAAGCATTCTCAGAAACTTCTCAGTGATGTTTGCATTCAGTTCATGGAGTTGAACACTTCCTTTCATAGAGCCGGTTTGAAACACTCTTTCTGCACTACCTGGAAGAGGACATTTCGAGCGCTTTGAGTCCTATGGTGAAAAAGGAAATATCTTCTCATAGAAACCAGAAAGAAGCATTCTCAGAAACTTCTTTGTGTTGTGTGTACTCATGTAACAGTGTTGAACCATCCTTTTGACAGAGCAGTTTTGAAACACTCTTTTTGTAGAATCTGCAAGTGGATATTTGGATAGCTTTGAGGATTTCGTTGGAAACGGGATGACATATAATATCTAGAGAGAAGCATTCTCAGGAACTTCTTTGTGATGTTTGCATTCAAGTCACAGAATTGAACATTCCCTTTCATAGAGCAGGTTTGAAACACTCTTTCTCTAGTATCTGGAAGTGGGCATTTCAAGCGCTTTCAGGCCTATGGAGAGAAAGGAAATACCTTCAAATAAAAACTAGACAGAAGCATTCTCAGAAACTTATTTGTGATGTGTGTCCTCAACTAACAGAGTTGAACCTTTGTTTTGATACAGCATTTTGGAAACACTCCTTTTGTAGAATCTGCAGGTGGATATTTGGATAGCTTTGAAGATTTCGTTGGAAACCGGAATATCTTCATATAAAATCAAGACAGAAGCATTCTCGGAAACATCTCTGTGATGTTTGCATTCAACTCAGTAGAGTTGAACACTTCCTTTCATAGAGCAGGTTTGAAACACTCTTTCTGCACTACCTGGAAGCGGACATTTCGAGCGCTTTGAGGCCTATGGTGAAAAAGGAAATATCTTCTCATAAAAACCAGAAAGAAGCATTCTCAGAAACTTCTTTGTGTTGTGTGTACTCAAGTAACAGTGTTGAACCTTCCTTTTGACAGAGCAGTTTTGAAACACTCTTTTGGTAGAATCTGCAAGTGGATATTTGGAGAGCTTTGAGGATTTCGTTGGAAACGGGTTATCTTCATATAAAATCCAGACAGGAGCATTCTCAGAAACTTCTTTGTGCTGTATGTCCTCAATTCACAGAGCTGAACCTTTGTTTGGATACAGCATTTTGGAGACATTCCTTTAGTAGAATCTGCAAGTTGATATTTAGATAGCTTTGAAGATTTCGTTGGAAACGGGAATATCTTCATAGAAAATCTAGACGGAAGCATTCTCAGAAACTTCTCAGTGATGTTTGCATTCAAGTCACAGAGTTGAATATTCCCTTTTATAGAGTAGGTTTGAAACACTCTTTCGGCACTACCTGGAAGTGGATATTTCGAGCTCTTTGAGGCCTATGGTTAAAAGGAAATATCTTCCCATAAAAACTAGACAGAAGCCGTCTCAGAAACTTGTTTGTGATGTGTGTATTCAACTAACAGAGTTGAACATTTCTGTTACAGAGCAATTTTAAAACACTCTTTTTGTGGAATCTGAAAGTGGATAATTGGATAGCTTTGTGGATTTCGTTGGAAACGGGATGACGTATAAAATCTAGAGAGAAGCATTCTCAGGAACTTCTTTCTGATGTTTGCATTCAAGTCACAGAATTGAACATTCCTTTTCAGAGTGCAGGTTTGAAACACTCTTTCTGTAGTATCTGGAAGTGGACATTTCAAGCGCTTTCAGGCCTACGGGGAGAAAGGAAATATCTTCAAATAAAAACTAGACAGAAGGATTCTCAGAAACTTATTTGTGATGTGTGTCCTAAACGAACACAGTTGAACCTTTGTTTTGATACAGCATTTTGGAAACACTCCTTTTGTAGGATCTGCAGGTGGATATTTGGATAGATTTTAAGATTTCGTTGGAAACGGGAATTTCTTCACATAAACTCAAGACAGATGCATTCTCAGAAACTTCTCTGTGATGTTTGCATTCCACTCATAGAGTTGAAAACTTCCTTTCATAGAGCAGGTTTGAAACACTCTTTTTGTAATATTTGGAAGTGGACATTTGCAGCGCTTTGAGGCCTATGGTGAAAAAGGAAATATCTTCTCATAAAAACCGGAAACAAGCATTCTCAGAAACTTCTTTTTGATGTGTGTACTCAAGTAACAGAGTTGAACCTTCCTTTTGACACAGCAGTTTTGAAACAATCTTTTTGTAGAATCTGCAAGTGGATATTTGGATAGCTTTGAGGATTTCGTTGGAAACGGGATATCTTCATATAAAATCTAGACAGAAGCATTCTCAGAAACTTCTTTGTGCTGTATGTCCTCAATTAACAGAGTTGAACCATTGCCTGGATACAGCATTTTGGAAACATTCCTTGAGTAGAATCTGCAAGTTGATATTTAGATAGATTTGAAGATTTCGTTGGAAAAGGGAATATCTCCATATAAAATCTAGAGGGAAGCATTCTCAGAAACTGCTTTGTGATGTTTCCATTCAAGTCACAGAGTTGAATATTCCCTTTTATAGAGCACGTTTGAAACACTCTTTCTGCACTATCTGGAAGCGGACATTTCGAGCGCTTTGAGGCCTATGGTGAAAAAGGAAATATCTTCCCATAAAAACTAGACAGAAAGCATTCTCAGAAACTTGTTTGTGATGTGTGTATTCAACTAACAGAGTTGAACTTTTGTTTTTACAGAGCCGTTTTAAAACACTCTTTTTGTGGAATCAGAAAGTGGATATTCGGATGGCTCTGAGGATTTCGTTGGAAGCGGGATTACGTATAAAATCTAGAGAGAAGCATTCTCAGGAACTTCTTTGTGATGTTTGCATTCAAGTCACAGAATTGAACATTCCCTTTCATAGAGCAGGTTTGAAACACTCTTTCTCTAGTATCTGGAAGTGGGCATTTCAAGCGCTTTCAGGCCTATGGAGAGAAAGGAAATACCTTCAAATAAAAACTAGACAGAAGCATTCTCAGAAACTTATTTGTGATGTGTGTCCTCAACTAACAGAGTTGAACCTTTGTTTTGATACAGCATTTTGGAAACACTCCTTTTGTAGAATCTGCAGGTGGATATTTGGATAGCTTTGAAGATTTCGTTGGAAACCGGAATATCTTCATATAAAATCAAGACAGAAGCATTCTCGGAAACATCTCTGTGATGTTTGCATTCAACTCAGTAGAGTTGAACACTTCCTTTCATAGAGCAGGTTTGAAACACTCTCTCTGCACTACCTGGAAGCGGACATTTCGAGCGCTTTGAGGCCTATGGTGAAAAAGGAAATATCTTCTCATAAAAACCAGAAAGAAGCATTCTCAGAAACTTCTTTGTGTTGTGTGTACTCAAGTAACAGTGTTGAACCTTCCTTTTGACAGAGCAGTTTTGAAACACTCTTTTGGTAGAATCTGCAAGTGGATATTTGGATAGCTTTGAGGATTTCGTTGGAAACGGGTTATCTTCCTATAAAATCCAGACAGGAGCATTCTCAGAAACTTCTTTGTGCTGTATGTCCTCAATTCACAGAGTTGAACCTTTGTTTGGATACAGCATTTTGGAAACATTCCTTTAGTAGAATCTGCAAGTTGATATTTAGATAGCTTTGAAGATTTCGTTGGAAACGGGAATATCTTCATAAAAAATCTAGACGGAAGCATTCTCAGAAACTGCTTTGTGATGTTTGCATTCAAGTCACAGAGTTGAATATTCCCTTTTATAGAGTAGGTTTGAAACACTCTTTCGGCACTACCTGGAAGTGGATATTTCGAGCTCTTATGAGGCCTATGGTTAAAAGGAAATATCTTCCCATAAAAACTAGACAGAAGCATTCTCAGAAACTTGTCTGTGATGTGTGTATTCAACTAACAGATTTGAACTTTTGTTTTTACAGAGCAGTTTTAAAGCACTGTTTTTGTGGAATCAGAAAGTGGATATTCGGATGGCTCTGAGGATTTCGTTGGAAGCCAGATTACATAAAAAATCTAGAGAGAAGCATTCTCAGGAACTTCTTTCTGATGTTTGCATTCAAGTCACAGAATTGAACATTCCTTTTCAGAGTGCAGGTTTGAAACACTCTTTCTGTAGTATCTGGAAGTGGACATTTCAAGCGCTTTCAGGCCTACGGGGAGAAAGGAAATATCTTCAAATAAAAACTAGACAGAAGGATTCTCAGAAACTTATTTGTGATGTGTGTCCTAAACGAACACAGTTGAACCTTTGTTTTGATACAGCATTTTGGAAACACTCCTTTTGTAGGATCTGCAGGTGGATATTTGGATAGATTTTAAGATTTCGTTGGAAACGGGAATTTCTTCATAGAAGCTCAAGACAGATGCATTCTCAGAAACTTCTCTGTGATGTTTGCATTCCACTCATAGAGTTGAAAACTTCCTTTCATAGAGCAGGTTTGAAACACTCTTTTTGTAATATTTGGAAGTGGACATTTGCAGCGCTTTGAGGCCTATGGTGAAAAAGGAAATATCTTCTCATAAAAACCAGAAACAAGCATTCTCAGAAACTTCTTTTTGATGTGTGTACTCAAGTAACAGAGTTGAACCTTCCTTTTGACACAGCAGTTTTGAAACAATCTTTTTGTAGAATCTGCAAGTGGATATTTGGATAGCTTTGATGATTTCGTTGGAAACGGGATATCTTCATATAAAATCTAGACAGAAGCATTCTCAGAAACTTCTTTGTGCTGTATGTCCTCAATTAACAGAGTTGAACCATTGCTTGGATACAGCATTTTGGAAACATTCCTTGAGTAGAATCTGCAAGTTGATACTTAGATAGATTTGAAGATTTCGTTGGAAAAGGGAATATCTCCATATAAAATCTAGAGGGAAGCATTCTCAGAAACTGCTTTATGATGTTTCCATTCAAGTCACAGAGTTGAATATTCCCTTTTATAGAGCACGTTTGAAACAATCTTTCTGCACTATCTGGAAGTGGACATTTCGAGCGCTTTGAGGCCTATGGTGAAAAAGGAAATATCTTCCCATAAAAACTAGACAGAAGCATTCTCAGAAACTTGTTTGTGATGTGTGTATTCAACTAACAGAGTTGAACTTTTGTTTTTACAGAGCCGTTTTAAAACACTCTTTTTGTGGAATCAGAAAGTGGATATTCGGATGGCTCTGAGGATTTCGTTGGAAGCGGGATTACATATAAAATCTAGAGAGAAGCATTCTCAGGAACTTCTTTGTGATGTTTGCATTGAAGTCACAGAATTGAACATTCACTTTTATAGAGCAGGTTTGAAACACTCATTCTGTAGTATCTGGAAGTGGACATTTCAAGCGCTTTCAGGCCTATGGTGAGAAAGGAAATATCTTCGAATAAAAACTAGACAGAAGCATCCTCAGAAACTTATTTGTGATGTGTGTCCTCAACTAACAGAGTTGAAACTTTGTTTTGATACAGCATTTTGGAAACACTCTTTTTGTAGAATCTGCAGGTGGATATTTGGATAGCTTAGAGGGATTCGTTGGAAAGGGGATATCTTCATATAAAATCTAGACAGAAGCATTCTCAGAAACTTATTTGTGATGTGTGTCCTCAACTAACAGAGTTGAACCTTGGTTTTGATACAGCATTTTGGAAACACTCCTTTTGTAGAATCTGCAGGTGGATATGTGGATAGCTTTGAAGATTTCGTTGGAAACGGGAATTTCTTCATATAAAATCAAACAGAAGCATTCTCAGAAACTTCTCTGTGATGTTTGCATTCAGCTCATGGAGTTGAACACTTCCTTTCATAGAGCAGGTTTGAAACACTCTTTCTGCACTACCAGGAAGTGGACATTTCGAGCGCTTTGAGGACTATGGTGAAAAAGGAAATATTTTCTCATAAAAACCAGAAAGAAGCGTTCTCAGAAACTTCTTTGTGTTGTGTGTACTCATGTAACAGTGTTGAACCATCCTTTTGACAGAGCAGTTTTGAAACACTCTTTTTGTAGAATCTGCAAGTGGATATTTGGATAGCTTTGAGGATTTCGTTGGAAACGGTTTATATTCATATTAAATCTAGACAGAAGCATTCTCAGAAACTTCTTTGTGCTGTATGTCCTCAATTCACAGAGTTGAACCTTTGTTTGGATACAGCATTTTGGAAACATTCCTTTAGTAGAATCTGCACGTTGATATTTAGATAGCTTTGAAGATTTCGTTGGAAACGGGAATATCTTCATAAAAAATCTAGACGGAAGCATTGTCAGAAACTGCTTTGTGATGTTTGCATTCAAGTCACAGAGTTAAATATTCTTTTACAGAGCAGGTTTGAAACACTCTTTCTGCACTCCCTGGAAGTGGAGATTTCGAGCGCTTTGAGGCCTATGGTGAAAAAGGAAATATCTTCCCATAAAAACTAGACGGAAGCCTTCTCAGAAACTTGTTTGAGATGTGTGTATTCAACTAAGAGCGTTGAACATTTCTTTTTACAGAGCAGTTTTAAAACACTCTTTTTGTGGAATCTGAAAGTGGATAATTGGATAGCTTTGTGGATTTCTTTGGAAACGGGATTACGTATAAAATCTAGAGAGAAGCATTCTCAGAAACTTCTTTCTGATGTTTGCATTCAAGTCACAGAATTGAACATTCCTTTTCATAGTGCAGGTTTGAAACACTCTTTCTGTACTATCTGGAAGTGGACATTTCAAGCGCTTTCAGGCCTATGGGGAGAAAGGAAATATCTTCAAATTAAAAACTAGACAGAAGGATTCTCAGAAACTTATTGGTGATGTGTGTCCTAAACGAACACAGTTGAACCTTTGTTTTGATACAGCATTTTGGAAACACTCCCTTTGTAGAATCTGCAGGTGGATATTTGGATAGATTTTAAGATTTCGTTGGAAACGGGAATTTCTTCATATAAACTCAAGACAGATGCATTCTCAGAAACTTCTCTGTGATGTTTGCATTCCACTCATAGAGTTGAAAACTTCCTTTCATAGAGCAGGTTTGAAACACTCTTTTTGTAATATGTGGAAGTGGACATTTGCAGCGCTTTGAGGCCTATGGTGAAAAAGGAAATATCTTCTCATAAAAACCAGAAACAAGCATTCTCAGAAACTTCTTTTTGATGTGTGTACTCAAGTAACAGAGTTGAACCTTCCTTTTGACACAGCAGTTTTGAAACAATCTTTTTGTAGAATCTGCAAGTGGATATTTGGATAGCTTTGAGGATTTCGTTGGAAACGGGATATCTTCATATAAAATCTAGACAGAAGCATTCTCAGAAACTTCTTTGTGCTGTATGACCTCAATTAACAGAGTTGAACCATTGCTTGCATACAGCATTTTGGAAACATTCCTGTAGTAGAATCTGCAAGTTGATATTTAGATAGATTTGAAGATTTCGTTCGAAAACGGAATATCTCCATATAAAATCTAGAGGGAAGCATTCTCAGAAACTGCTTTGTGATGTTTCCATTCAAGTCACAGAGTTGAATATTCCCTTTTATAGAGCACGTTTGAAACACTCTTTCTGCACTATCTGGAAGTAGACATTTTGAGCGCTTTGAGGCCTATGGTGAAAAAGAAAATATCTTCCCATAAAAACTAGACAGAAGCATTCTCAGAAACTTGTTTGTGATGTGTGTATTCAACTAACAGAGTTGAACTTTTGTTTTTACAGAGCCGTTTTAAAACACTCTTTTTGTGGAATCAGAAAGTGGATATTCGGATGGCTCTGAGGATTTCGTTGGAAGCGGGATTACGTATAAAATCTAGAGAGAAGCATTCTCAGGAACTTCTTTGTGATGTTTGCATTGAAGTCACAGAATTGAACATTCACTTTGATAGAGCAGGTTTGAAACACTCATTCTGTAGTATCTGGAAGTGGACATTTCAAGCGCTTTCAGGCCTATGGTGAGAAAGGAAATATCTTCGAATAAAAACTAGACAGAAGCATCCTCAAACTTATTTGTGATGTGTGTCCTCAACTAACAGAGTTGAAACTTTGTTTTGATACAGCATTTTGGAAACACTCTTTTTGTAGAATCTGCAGGTGGATATTTGGATAGCTTAGAGGGATTCGTTGGAAAGGGGATATCTTCATATAAAATCTAGACAGAAGCATTCTCAGAAACTTATTTGTGATGTGTGTCCTCAACTAACAGAGTTGAACCTTGGTTTTGATACAGCATTTTGGAAACACTCCTTTTGTAGAATCTGCAGGTGGATATGTGGATAGCTCTGAAGATTTCGTTGGAAACGGGAATTTCTTCATATAAAATCAAACAGAAGCATTCTCAGAAACTTCTCAGTGATGTTTGCATTCAGCTCATGGAGTTGTACACTTCCTTTCATAGAGCAGGTTTGAAACACTCTTTCTGCACTACCTGGAAGAGGACATTTCGAGCGCTTTGAGTCCTATGGTGAAAAAGGAAATATCTTCTCATATACACCAGAAAGAAGCATTCTCAGAAACTTCTTTGTGTTGTGTGTACTCATGTAACAGTGTTGAACCATCCTTTTGACAGAGCAGTTTTGAAACACTCTTTTTGTAGAATCTGCAAGTGGATATTTGGATAGCTTTGAGGATTTCGTTGGAAACGGGATGACATATAATATCTAGAGAGAAGCATTCTCAGGAACTTCTTTGTGATGTTTGCATTCAAGTCACAGAATTGAACATTCCCTTTCATAGAGCAGGTTTGAAACACTCTTTCTCTAGTATCTGGAAGTGGGCATTTCAAGCGCTTTCAGGCCTATGGAGAGAAAGGAAATACCTTCAAATAAAAACTAGACAGAAGCATTCTCAGAAACTTATTTGTGATGTGTGTCCTCAACTAACAGAGTTGAACCTTTGTTTTGATACAGCATTTTGGAAACACTCCTTTTGTAGAATCTGCAGGTGGATATTTGGATAGCTTTGAAGATTTCGTTGGAAACCGGAATATCTTCATATAAAATCAAGACAGAAGCATTCTCGGAAACATCTCTGTGATGTTTGCATTCAACTCAGTAGAGTTGAACACTTCCTTTCATAGAGCAGGTTTGAAACACTCTTTCTGCACTACCTGGAAGCGGACATTTCGAGCGCTTTGAGGCCTATGGTGAAAAAGGAAATATCTTCTCATAAAAACCAGAAAGAAGCATTCTCAGAAACTTCTTTGTGTTGTGTGTACTCAAGTAACAGTGTTGAACCTTCCTTTTGACAGAGCAGTTTTGAAACACTCTTTTGGTAGAATCTGCAAGTGGATATTTGGATAGCTTTGAGGATTTCGTTGGAAACGGGTTATCTTCATATAAAATCCAGACAGGAGCATTCTCAGAAACTTCTTTGTGCTGTATGTCCTCAATTCACAGAGCTGAACCTTTGTTTGGATACAGCATTTTGGAGACATTCCTTTAGTAGAATCTGCAAGTTGATATTTAGATAGCTTTGAAGATTTCGTTGGAAACGGGAATATCTTCATAGAAAATCTAGACGGAAGCATTCTCAGAAACTGCTTTGTGATGTTTGCATTCAAGTCACAGAGTTGAATATTCCCTTTTATAGAGTAGGTTTGAAACACTCTTTCGGCACTACCTGGAAGTGGATATTTCGAGCTCTTTGAGGCCTATGGTTAAAAGGAAATATCTTCCCATAAAAACTAGACAGAAGCCGTCTCAGAAACTTGTTTGTGATGTGTGTATTCAACTACCAGAGTTGAACATTTCTGTTACAGAGCAATTTTAAAACACTCTTTCTGTGGAATCTGAAAGTGGATAATTGGATAGCTTTGTGGATTTCGTTGGAAACGGGATGACGTATAAAATCTAGAGAGAAGCATTCTCAGGAACTTCTTTCTGATGTTTGCATTCAAGTCACAGAATTGAACATTCCTTTTCAGAGTGCAGGTTTGAAACACTCTTTCTGTAGTATCTGGAAGTGGACATTTCAAGCGCTTTCAGGCCTACGGGGAGAAAGGAAATATCTTCAAATAAAAACTAGACAGAAGGATTCTCAGAAACTTATTTGTGATGTGTGTCCTAAACGAACACAGTTGAACCTTTGTTTTGATACAGCATTTTGGAAACACTCCTTTTGTAGGATCTGCAGGTGGATATTTGGATAGATTTTAAGATTTCGTTGGAAACGGGAATTTCTGCATATAAACTCAAGACAGATGCATTCTCAGAAACTTCTCTGTGATGTTTGCATTCCACTCATAGAGTTGAAAACTTCCTTTCATAGAGCAGGTTTGAAACACTCTTTTTGTAATATTTGGAAGTGGACATTTGCAGCGCTTTGAGGCCTATGGTGAAAAAGGAAATATCTTCTCATAAAAACCAGAAACAAGCATTCTCAGAAACTTCTTTTTGATGTGTGTACTCAAGTAACAGAGTTGAACCTTCCTTTTGACACAGCAGATTTGAAACAATCTTTTTGTAGAATCTGCAAGTGGATATTTGGATAGCTTTGAGGATTTCGTTGCAAACGGGATATCTTCATATAAAATCTAGACAGAAGCATTCTCAGAAACTTCTTTGTGCTGTATGTCCTCAATTAACAGAGTTGAACCATTGCTTGGATACAGCATTTTGGAAACATTCCTTTAGTAGAATCTGCAAGTTGATATTTAGATAGATTTGAAGATTTCGTTGGAAACGGGAATATCTTCATATAAAATCTAGACGGAGGCATTCTCAGAAACTGCTTTGTGATGTTTCCATTCAAGTCACAGAGTTGAATATTCTCTTTTATAGAGCACGTTTGAAACACTCTTTCTGCACTATCTGGAAGTGGACATTTCGAGCGCTGTGAGGCCTATGGTGAAAAAGGAAATATCTTCCCATAAAAACTAGACAGAAGCATTCTCAGAAACTTGTTTGTGATGTGTGTATTCAACTAACAGACATGAACTTTTGTTTTTACAGAGCAGTTTTAAGACAATCTTTTTGTGGAATCATAAAGTGGATATTCGGATGGCTTTGAGGACTTCTTTGGAAGCAGGATTACATATAAAATCTAGAGAGAAGCATTCTCAGGAACTTCTTTGTGATGTTTGCATTGAAGTCACAGAATTGAACATTCACTTTGATAGAGAAGGTTTGAAACACTCATTCTGTAGTATCTGGAAGCGGACATTTCAAGCGCTTTCAGGCCTATGGTGAGAAAGGAAATATCTTCAAATAAAAACTAGACAGAAGCCTCCTCAGAAACTTACTTGTGATGTGTGTCCTCAACTAACAGAGTTGAAACTTTGTTTTGATACAGCATTTTGGAAACACTCTTTTTGTAGAATCTGCAGGTGGATATTTGGATAGCTTAGAGGGATTCGTTGGAAAGGGGATATCTTCATATAAAATCTAGACAGAAGCATTCTCAGAAACTTATTTGTGATGTGTGTCCTCAACTAACAGAGTTGAACCTTGGTTTTGATACAGCATTTCGGAAACACTCCTTTTATAGAATCTGCAGGTGGATATGTGGATAGCTTTGAAGATTTCGTTGGAAACGGGAATTTCTTCATATAAAATGAAACAGAAGCATTCTCAGGAACTTCTCTGTGATGTTTGCATTCAGTTCATGGAGTTGAACACTTCCTTTCATAGAGCAGGTTTGAAACACTCTTTCTGCACTACCTGGAAGTGGACATTTCGAGCGCTTTGAGGCCTATGGTGAAAAAGGAAATATCCTCTCATAAAAACCAGAAAGAAGCGTTCTCAGAAACTTCTTTGTGTTGTGTGTACTCATGTAACAGTGTTGAACCATCCTTTTGACAGAGCAGTTTTGAAACACTCTTTTTGTAGAATCTGCCAGTGGATATTTGGATAGCTTTGAGGATTTCGTTGGAAACGGGTTATCTTCATATTAAATCTAGACAGAAGCATTCTCAGAAACTTCTTTGTGCTGTATGTCCTCAATTCACAGAGTTGAACCTTTGTTTGGATACAGCATTTTGGAAACATTCCTTTAGTAGAATCTGCAAGTTGATATTTAGATAGCTTTGAAGATTTCGTTGGAAACGGGAATATCTTCATAAAAAATCTAGACGGAAGCATTGTCAGAAACTGCTCTGTGATGTTTGCATTCAAGTCACAGAGTTAAATATTCTTTTATAGAGCAGGTTTGAAACACTCTTTCTGCACTCCCTGGAAGTGGAGATTTCGAGCGCTTTGAGGCCTATGGTGAAAAAGGAAATATCTTCCTGTAAAAACTAGACGGAAGCCTTCTCAGAAACTTGTTTGAGATGTGTGTATTCAACTAAGAGCGTTGAACATTTCTTTTTACAGAGCAGTTTTAAAACACTCTTTTGGTGCAATCTGAAAGTGGATAATTGGATAGCTTTGTGGATTTCGTTGGAAACGGGATTACGTTTAAAATCTAGAGAGAAGCATTCTCAGGAACTTCTTTCTGATGTTTGCATTCAAGTCACAGAATTGAACATTCCTTTTCATAGTGCAGGTTTGAAACACTCTGTAGTATCTGGAAGTGGACATTTCAAGCGCTTTCAAGCCTATGGGGAGAAAGGAAATATCTTGAAATAAAAACTAGACAGAAGGATTCTCAGAAACTTATTTGTGATGTGTGTTCTCAACGAACACAGTTGAACCTTTGTTTTGATACAGCATTTTGGAAACACTCCTTTTGTAGAATCTGCAGGTGGATATTTGGATAGATTTTAAGATTTCATTGGAAACGGGAATTTCTTCATATAAACTCAAGACAGATGCATTCTCAGAAACTTCTCTGTGATGTTTGCATTCCACTCACAGAGTTGAAAACTTCCTTTCATAGAGCAGGTTTGAAACACTCTTTTTGTAATATTTGGAAGTGGACATTTGCAGCGCTTTGAGGCCTATGGTGAAAAAGGAAATATCTTCTCATAAAAACCAGAAACAAGCATTCTCAGAAACTGCTTTTTGATGTGTGTACTCAAGTAACAGAGTTGAACCTTCCTTTTGACACAGCAGTTTTGAAACAATCTTTTTGTAGAATCTGCAAGTGGATATTTGGATAGCTTTGAGGATTTCGTTGGAAACGGGATATCTTCATATAAAATCTAGACAGAAGCATTCTCAGAAACTATTTTGTGCTGTATGTCCTCAATTAACAGAGTTGAACCATTGCTTGGATACAGCATTTTGGAAACATTCCTTTAGTAGAATCTGCAAGTTGATATTTAGATAGATTTGAAGATTTCGTTGGAAACGGGAATATCTTCATATAAAATCTAGACGGAAGCATTCTCAGAAACTGCTTTGTGATGTTTCCATTCAAGTCACAGAGTTGAATATTCCCTTTTATAGAGCACGTTTGAAACACTCTTTCTGCACTATCTGGAAGCGGACATTTCGAGCGCTTTGAGGCCTATGGTGAAAAAGGAAATATCTTCCCATAAAAACTAGACAGAAGCATTCTCAGAAACATGTTTGTGATGTGTGTATTCAACTAACAGAGTTGAACTTTTGTTTTTACAGAGCCGTTTTAAAACACTCTTTTTGTGGAATCAGAAAGTGGATATTCGGATGGCTCTGAGGATTTCGTTGGAAGCGGGATTACGTATAAAATCTAGAGAGAAGCATTCTCAGGAACTTCTTTGTGATGTTTGCATTGAAGTCACAGAATTGAACATTCACTTTGATAGAGCAGGTTTGAAACACTCATTCTGTAGTATCTGGAAGTGGACATTTCAAGCGCTTTCAGGCCTATGGTGAGAAAGGAAATATCTTCGAATAAAAACTAGACAGAAGCATCCTCAAACTTATTTGTGATGTGTGTCCTCAACGAACAGAGTTGAAACTTTGTTTTGATACAGCATTTTGGAAACACTCTTTTTGTAGAATCTGCAGGTGGATATTTGGATAGCTTAGAGGGATTCGTTGGAAAGGGGATATCTTCATATAAAATCTAGACAGAAGCATTCTCAGAAACTTATTTGTGATGTGTGTCCTCAACTAACAGAGTTGAACCTTGGTTTTGATACAGCATTTTGGAAACACTCCTTTTGTAGAATCTGCAGGTGGATATGTGGATAGCTCTGAAGATTTCGTTGGAAACGGGAATTTCTTCATATAAAATCAAACAGAAGCATTCTCAGAAACTTCTCAGTGATGTTTGCATTCAGCTCATGGAGTTGAACACTTCCTTTCATAGAGCAGGTTTGAAACACTCTTTCTGCACTACCTGGAAGAGGACATTTCGAGCGCTTTGAGTCCTATGGTGAAAAAGGAAATATCTTCTCATAGAAACCAGAAAGAAGCATTCTCAGAAACTTCTTTGTGTTGTGTGTACTCATGTAACAGTGTTGAACCATCCTTTTGACAGAGGAGTTTTGAAACACTCTTTTTGTAGAATCTGCAAGTGGATATTTGGATAGCTTTGAGGATTTCGTTGGAAACGGGATGACATATAATATCTAGAGAGAAGCATTCTCAGGAACTTCTTTGTGATGTTTGCATTCAAGTCACAGAATTGAACATTCCCTTTCATAGAGCAGGTTTGAAACACTCTTTCTCTAGTATCTGGAAGTGGGCATTTCAAGCGCTTTCAGGCCTATGGAGAGAAAGGAAATACCTTCAAATAAAAACTAGACAGAAGCATTCTCAGAAACTTATTTGTGATGTGTGTCCTCAACTAACAGAGTTGAACCTTTGTTTTGATACAGCATTTTGGAAACACTCCTTTTGTAGAATCTGCAGGTGGATATTTGGATAGCTTTGAAGATTTCGTTGGAAACCGGAATATCTTCATATAAAATCAAGACAGAAGCATTCTCGGAAACATCTCTGTGATGTTTGCATTCAACTCAGTAGAGTTGAACACTTCCTTTCATAGAGCAGGTTTGAAACACTCTTTCTGCACTACCTGGAAGCGGACATTTCGAGCGCTTTGAGGCCTATGGTGAAAAAGGAAATATCTTCTCATAAAAACCAGAAAGAAGCATTCTCAGAAACTTCTTTGTGTTGTGTGTACTCAAGTAACAGTGTTGAACCTTCCTTTTGACAGAGCAGTTTTGAAACACTCTTTTGGTAGAATCTGCAAGTGGATATTTGGATAGCTTTGAGGATTTCGTTGGAAACGGGTTATCTTCCTATAAAATCCAGACAGGAGCATTCTCAGAAACTTCTTTGTGCTGTATGTCCTCAATTCACAGAGCTGAACCTTTGTTTGGATACAGCATTTTGGAGACATTCCTTTAGTACAATCTGCAAGTTGATATTTAGATAGCTTTGAAGATTTCGTTGGAAACGGGAATATCTTCATAGAAAATCTAGACGGAAGCATTCTCAGAAACTGCTTTGTGATGTTTGCATTCAAGTCACAGAGTTGAATATTCCCTTTTATAGAGTAGGTTTGAAACACTCTTTCGGCACTACCTGGAAGTGGATATTTCGAGCTCTTTGAGGCCTATGGTTAAAAGGAAATATCTTCCCATAAAAACTAGACAGAAGCCGTCTCAGAAACTAGTTTGTGATGTGTGTATTCAACTAACAGAGTTGAACATTTCTGTTACAGAGCAATTTTAAAACACTCTTTTTGTGGAATCTGAAAGTGGATAATTGGATAGCTTTGTGGATTTCGTTTGAAACGGGATGACGTATAAAATCTAGAGAGAAGCATTCTCAGGAACTTCTTTCTGATGTTTGCATTCAAGTCACAGAATTGAACATTCCTTTTCAGAGTGCAGGTTTGAAACACTCTTTCTGTAGTATCTGGAAGTGGACATTTCAAGCGCTTTCAGGCCTACGGGGAGAAAGGAAATATCTTCAAATAAAAACTAGACAGAAGGATTCTCAGAAACTTATTTGTGATGTGTGTCCTAAACGAACACAGTTGAACCTTTGTTTTGATACAGCATTTTGGAAACACTCCTTTTGAAGGATCTGCAGGTGGATATTTGGATAGATTTTAAGATTTCGTTGGAAACGGGAATTTCTTCACATAAACTCAAGACAGATGCATTCTCAGAAACTTCTCTGTGATGTTTGCATTCCACTCATAGAGTTGAAAACTTCCTTTCATAGAGCAGGTTTGAAACACTCTTTTTGTAATATTTGGAAGTGGACATTTGCAGCGCTTTGAGGCCTATGGTGAAAAAGGAAATATCTTCTCATAAAAACCAGAAACAAGCATTCTCAGAAACTTCTTTGTTTTGTGTGTACTCAAGTAACAGTGTTGAACCTTCCTTTTGACAGAGCAGTTTTGAAACACTCTTTTTGTAGAATCTGCAAGTGGATATTTGGATAGCTTTGAGGATTTCGTTGGAAACGGGTTATCTTCATATAAAATCCAGACAGGAGCATTCTCAGAAACTTCTTTGTGCTGTATGTCCTCAATTCACAGAGCTGAACCTTTGTTTGGATACAGCATTTTGGAAACATTCCTTTAGTAGAATCTGCAAGTTGATATTTAGATAGCTTTGAAGATTTCGTTGGAAACGGGAATATCTTCATAGAAAATCTAGACGGAAGCATTCTCAGAAACTGCTTTGTGATGTTTGCATTCAAGTCACAGAGTTGAATATTCCCTTTTATAGAGTAGGTTTGAAACACTCTTTCGGCACTACCTGGAAGTGGATATTTCGAGCTCTTTGAGGCCTATGGTTAAAAGGAAATATCTTCCCATAAAAACTAGACAGAAGCCTTCTCAGAAACTTGTTTGAGATGTGTGTATTCAACAAAGAGCGTTGAACATTTCTTTTTACAGAGCAGTTTTAAAACAGTCTTTTGGTGGAATCTGAAAGTGGATAATTGGATAGCTTTGTGGATTTCGTTGGAAACGGGATTACGTTTAAAATCTAGAGAGAAGCATTCTCAGGAACTTCTTTCTGATGTTTGCATTCAAGTCACAGAATTGAACATTCCTTTTCATAGTGCAGGTTTGAAACACTCTGTAGTATCTGGAAGTGGACATTTCAAGCGCTTTCAGGCCTATGGGGAGAAACGAAATATCTTGAAATAAAAACTAGACAGAAGGATTCTCAGAAACTTATTTGTGATGTGTGTTCTCAACGAACACAGTTGAACCTTTGTTTTGATATAGCATTTTGGAAGCACTCTTTTGTAGAATCTGCAGGTGGATATTTGGATAGATTTTAAGATTTCATTGGAAACTTGAATTTCTTCATATAAACTCAAGACAGATGCATTCTCAGAAACTTCTCTGTGATGTTTGCATTTCACTCACAGAGTTGAAAACTTCCTTTCATAGAGCAGGTTTGAAACACTCTTTTTGTAATATTTGGAAGTGGACATTTGCAGCGCTTTGAGGCCTATGGTGAAAAAGGAAATATCTTCTCATAAAAACCAGAAACAAGCATTCTCAGAAACTGCTTTTTGATGTGTGTACTCAAGTAACAGAGTTGAACCTTCCTTTTGACACAGCAGTTTTGAAACAATCTTTTTGTAGAATCTGCAAGTGGATATTTGGATAGCTTTGAGGATTTCGTTGGAAACGGGATATCTTCATATAAAATCTAGACAGAAGCATTCTCAGAAACTTCTTTGTGCTGTATGTCCTCAATTAACAGAGTTGAACCATTGCTTGGATACAGCATTTTGGAAACATTCCTTTAGTAGAACCTGCAAGTTGATATTTAGATAGATTTGAAGAATTCGTTGGAAACGGGAATATCTTCATATAAAATCTAGACGGAGGCATTCTCAGAAACTGCTTTGTGATGTTTCCATTCAAGTCACAGAGTTGAATATTCTCTTTTATAGAGCACGTTTGAAACACTCTTTCTGCACTATCTGGAAGTGGACATTTCGAGCGCTTTGAGGCCTATGGTGAAAAAGGAAATATCTTCCCATAAAAACTAGACAGAAACATTCTCAGAAACTTGTTTGTGATGTGTGTATTCAACTAACAGACTTGAACTTTTGTTTTTACAGAGCAGTTTTAAAACAATCTTTTTGTGGAATCAGAAAGTGGATATTCGGATGGCTTTGAGGATTTCGTTGGAAGCGGGATTACATATAAAATCTAGAGAGAAGCATTCTCAGGAACTACTTTGTGATGTTTGCATTGAAGTCACAGAACTGAACATACACTTTGATAGAGCAGGTTTGAAACACTCATTCTGTAGTATCTGGAAGTGGACATTTCAAGCGCTTTCAGGCCTATGGGGAGAAAGGAAATATCTTCAAATAAAAACTAGACAGAAGCATCCTCAGAAACTTATTTGTGATGTGTGTCCTCAACTAACAGAGTTGAAACTTCTGTTTTGATACAGCATTTTGGAAACACTCTTTTTGTAGAATCTGCAGGTGGATATTTGGATAGCTTAGAGGGATTCGTTGGAAAGGGGATATCTTCATATAAAATCTAGACAGAAGCATTCTCAGAAACTTATTGGTGATGTGTGTCCTCAACTAACAGAGTTGAACCTTGGTTTTGATACAGCATTTTGGAAACACTCCTTTTGTAGAATCTGCAGGTGGATATGTGGATAGCTTTGAAGATTTCGCTGGAAACGGGAATTTCTTCATATAAAATCAAACAGAAGCATTCTCAGAAACTTCTCTGTGATGTTTGCATTCAGCTCATGGAGTTGAACACTTCCTTTCATAGAGCAGGTTTGAGACACTCTTTCTGCACTACCAGGAAGTGGACATTTCGAGCGCTTTGAGGCGTATGGTGAAAAAGGAAATATCTTCTCATAAAAACCAGAAAGAAGCGTTCTCAGAAACTTCTTTGTGTTCTGTGTACTCATGTAACAGTGTTGAACCATCCTTTTGACAGAGCAGTTTTGAAACACTCTTTTTGTAGAATCTGCAAGTGGATATTTGGATAGCTTTGAGGATTTCGTTGGAAACGGGTTATCTTCATATTAAATCTAGACAGAAGCATTCTCAGAAACTTCTTTGTGCTGTATGTCCTCAATTCACAGAGTTGAACCTTTGTTTGGATACAGCATTTTGGAAACATTCCTTTAGTAGAATCTGCAAGTTGATATTTAGATAGCTTTGAAGATTTCGTTGGAAACGGGAATATCTTCATAAAAAATCTAGACGGAAGCATTGTCAGAAACTGCTCTGTGATGTTTGCATTCAAGTCACAGAGTTAAATATTCTTTTACAGAGCAGGTTTGAAACACTCTTTCTGCACTCCCTGGAAGTGGAGATTTCGAGCGCTTTGAGGCCTATGGTGAAAAAGGAAATATCTTCCCATAAAAACTAGACGGAAGCCTTCTCAGAAACTTGTTTGAGATGTGTGTATTCAACTAAGAGCGTTGAACATTTCTTTTTACAGAGCAGTTTTAAAACACTCTTTTGGTGGAATCTGAAAGTGGATAATTGGATAGCTTTGTGGATTTCGTTGGAAACGGGATTACGTTTAAAATCTAGAGAGAAGCATTCTCAGGAACTTCTTTCTGATGTTTGCATTCAAGTCACAGAATTGAACATTCCTTTTCATAGTGCAGGTTTGAAACACTCTGTAGTATCTGGAAGTGGACATTTCAAGCGCTTTCAAGCCTATGGGGAGAAAGGAAATATCTTGAAATAAAAACTAGACAGAAGGATTCTCAGAAACTTATTTGTGATGTGTGTCCTAAACGAACACAGTTGAACCTTTGTTTTGATACAGCATTTTGGAAACACTCCTTTTGTAGAATCTGCAGGTGGATATTTGGATAGATTTTAAGATTTCATTGGAAACGGGAATTTCTTCATATAAACTCAAGACAGATGCATTCTCAGAAACTTCTCTGTGATGTTTGCATTCCACTCATAGAGTTGAAAACTTCCTTTCATAGAGCAGGTTTGAAACACTCTTTTTGTAATATTTGGAAGTGGACATTTGCAGCGCTTTGAGGCCTATGGTGAAAAAGGAAATATCTTCTCATAAAAACCAGAAACAAGCATTCTCAGAAACTGCTTTTTGATGTGTGTACTCAAGTAACAGAGTTGAACCTTCCTTTTGACACAGCAGTTTTGAAACAATCTTTTTGTAGAATCTGCAAGTGGATATTTGGATAGCTTTGAGGATTTCGTTGGAAACGGGATATCTTCATATAAAACCTAGACAGAAGCATTCTCAGAAACTTCTTTGTGCTGTATGTCCTCAATTAACAGAGTTGAACCATTGCTTGGATACAGCATTTTGGAAACATTCCTTTAGTAGAATCTGCAAGTTGATATTTAGATAGATTTGAAGATTTCGTTGGAAACGGGAATATCTTCATATAAAATCTAGACGGAGGCATTCTCAGAAACTGCTTTGTGATGTTTCCATTCAAGTCACAGAGTTGAATATTCTCTTTTATAGAGCACGTTTGAAACACTCTTTCTGCACTATCTGGAAGTGGACATTTCGAGCGCTGTGAGGCCTATGGTGAAAAAGGAAATATCTTCCCATAAAAACTAGACAGAAGCATTCTCAGAAACTTGTTTATGATGTGTGTATTCAACAAACAGACTTGAACTTTTGTTTTTACAGAGCAGTTTTAAGACAATCTTTTTGTGGAATCAGAAAGTGGATATTCGGATGGCTTTGAGGACTTCGTTGGAAGCGGGATTACATATAAAATCTAGAGAGAAGCATTCTCAGGAACTACTTTGTGATGTTTGCATTGAAGTCACAGAATTGAACATTCACTTTGATAGAGCAGGTTTGAAACACTCATTCTGTAGTATCTGGAAGCGGACAATTCAAGCGCTTTCAGGCCTATGGGGAGAAAGGAAATATCTTCAAATAAAAACTAGAGAGAAGGATTCTCAGAAACTTATTGGTGATGTGTGTCCTAAACGAACACAGTTGAACCTTTGTTTTGATACAGCATTTTGGAAACACTCCTTTTGTAGAATCTGCAGGTGGATATTTGGATAGCTTAGTGGGATTCGTTGGAAAGGGGATATCTTCATATAAAATCTAGACAGAAGCATTCTCAGAAACTTATTTGTGATGTGTGTCCTCAACTAACAGAGTGGAACCTTGGTTTTGATACAGCATTTTGGAAACACTCCTTTTGTAGAATCTGCAGGTGGATATGTGGATAGCTTTGAAGATTTCGTTGGAAACGGGAATTTCTTCATATAAAATCAAACAGAAGCATTCTCAGAAACTTCTCTGTGATGTTTGCATTCAGCTCATGGAGTTGAACACTTCCTTTCATAGAGCAGGTTTGAAAAACTCTTTCTGCACTACCAGGAAGTGGACATTTCGAGCGCTTTGAGGCTTATGGTGAAAAAGGAAATATCTTCTCATAAAAACCAGAAAGAAGCGTTCTCAGAAACTTCTTTGTGTTGTGTGTACTCATGTAACAGTGTTGAACCATCCTTTTGACAGAGCAGTTTTGAAACAATCTTTTTGTAGAATCTGCAAGTGGATATTTGGATAGCTTTGAGGATTTCGTTGGAAATGGGATATCTTCATATAAAATCTAGACAGAAGCATTCTCAGAAACTTCTTTGTGCTGTATGTCCTCAATTAACAGAGTTGAACCATTGCTTGGATACAGCATTTTGGAAACATTCCTTTAGTAGAATCTGCAAGTTGATATTTAGATAGCTTTGAAGATTTCGTTGGAAACGGGAATATCTTCATAAAAAATCTAGACGGAAGCATTGTCAGAAACTGCTTTGTGATGTTTGCATTCAAGTCACAGAGTTAAATATTCTTTTACAGAGCAGGTTTGAAACACTCTTTCTGCACTCCCTGGAAGTGGAGATTTCGAGTGCTTTGAGGCCTATGGTGAAAAAGGAAATATCTTCCCATAAAAACTAGACGGAAGCCTTCTCAGAAACTTGTTTGAGATGTGTGTATTCAACTAAGAGCGTTGAACATTTCTTTCTACAGAGCAGTTTTAAAACACTCTTTTTGTGGAATCTGAAAGTGGATAATTGGATAGCTTTGTGGATTTCGTTGGAAACGGGATTACGTATAAAATCTAGAGAGAAGCATTCTCAGAAACTTCTTTCTGATGTTTGCATTCAAGTCACAGAATTGAACATTCCTTTTCATAGTGCAGGTTTGAAACACTCTTTCTGTACTATCTGGAAGTGGACATTTCAAGCGCTTTCAGGCCTATGGGGAGAAAGGAAATATCTTCAAATTAAAAACTAGACAGAAGGATTCTCAGAAACTTATTTGTGATGTGTGTCCTAAACGAACACAGTTGAACCTTTGTTTTGATACAGCATTTTGGAAACACTCCTTTTGTAGGATCTGCAGGTGGATATTTGGATAGATTTTAAGATTTCGTTGGAAACGGGAATTTCTGCATAGAAACTCAAGACAGATGCATTCTCAGAAACTTCTCTGTGATGTTTGCATTCCACTCATAGAGTTGAAAACTTCCTTTCATAGAGCAGGTTTGAAACACTCTTTTTGTAATATTTGGAAGTGGACATTTGCAGCGCTTTGAGGCCTATGGTGAAAAAGGAAATATCTTCTCATAAAAACCAGAAACAAGCATTCTCAGAAACTTCTTTTTGATGTGTGTACTCAAGTAACAGAGTTGAACCTTCCTTTTGACACAGCAGTTTTGAAACAATCTTTTTGTAGAATCTGCAAGTGGATATTTGGATAGCTTTGAGGATTTCGTTGGAAACGGGATATCTTCATATAAAATCTAGACAGAAGCATTCTCAGAAACTTCTTTGTGCTGTATGACCTCAATTAACAGAGTTGAACCATTGCTTGCATACAGCATTTTGGAAACATTCCTTGAGTAGAATCTGCAAGTTGATATTTAGATAGATTTGAAGATTTCGTTCGAAAACGGAATATCTCCATATAAAATCTAGAGGGAAGCATTCTCAGAAACTGCTTTGTGATGTTTCCATTCAAGTCACAGAGTTGAATATTCCCTTTTATAGAGCACGTTTGAAACACTCTTTCTGCACTATCTGGAAGTGGACATTTCGAGCGCTTTGAGGCCTATGGTGAAAAAGGAAATATCTTCCCATAAAAACTAGACAGAAGCATTCTCAGAAACTTGTTTGTGATGTGTGTATTCAACTAACAGAGTTGAACTTTTGTTTTTACAGAGCCGTTTTAAAACACTCTTTTTGTGGAATCAGAAAGTGGATATTCGGATGGCTCTGAGGATTTCGTTGGAAGCGGGATTACATATAAAATCTAGAGAGAAGCATTCTCAGGAACTTCTTTGTGATGTTTACATTGAAGTCACAGAATTGAACATTCACTTTGATAGAGCAGGTTTGAAACACTCATTCTGTAGTATCTGGAAGTGGACAATTCAAGCGCTTTCAGGCCTATGGGGAGAAAGGAAATATCTTCAAATAAAAACTAGACAGAAGCATCCTCAGAAACTTATTTGTGATGTGTGTCCTCAACTAACAGAGTTGAAACTTTGTTTTGATACAGCATTTTGGAAACACTCTTTTTGTAGAATCTGCAGGTGGATATTTGGATAGCTTAGAGGGATTCGTTGGAAAGGGGATATCTTCATATAAAATCTAGACAGAAGCATTCTCAGAAACTTATTTGTGATGTGTGTCCTCAACTAACAGAGTTGAACCTTGGTTTTGATACAGCATTTTGGAAACACTCCTTTTGTAGAATCTGCAGGTGGATATGTGGATAGCTCTGAAGATTTCGTTGGAAACGGGAATTTCTTCATATAAAATCAAACAGAAGCATTCTCAGAAACTTCTCAGTGATGTTTGCATTCAGCTCATGGAGTTGTACACTTCCTTTCATAGAGCAGGTTTGAAACACTCTTTCTGCACTACCTGGAAGAGGACATTTCGAGCGCTTTGAGTCCTATGGTGAAAAAGGAAATATCTTCTCATAGAAACCAGAAAGAAGCATTCTCAGAAACTTCTTTGTGTTGTGTGTACTCATGTAACAGTGTTGAACCATCCTTTTGACAGAGCAGTTTTGAAACACTCTTTTTGTAGAATCTGCAAGTGGATATTTGGATAGCTTTGAGGATTTCGTTGGAAACGGGATGACATATAATATCTAGAGAGAAGCATTCTCAGGAACTTCTTTGTGATGTTTGCATTCAAGTCACAGAATTGAACATTCCCTTTCATAGAGCAGGTTTGAAACACTCTTTCTCTAGTATCTGGAAGTGGGCATTTCAAGCGCTTTCAGGCCTATGGAGAGAAAGGAAATACCTTCAAATAAAAACTAGACAGAAGCATTCTCAGAAACTTATTTGTGATGTGTGTCCTCAACTAACAGAGTTGAACCTTTGTTTTGATACAGCATTTTGGAAACACTCCTTTTGTAGAATCTGCAGGTGGATATGTGGATAGCTTTGAAGATTTCGTTGGAAACCGGAATATCTTCCTATAAAATCAAGACAGAAGCATTCTCGGAAACATCTCTGTGATGTTTGCATTCAACTCAGTAGAGTTGAACACTTCCTTTCATAGAGCAGGTTTGAAACACTCTTTCTGCACTACCTGGAAGCGGACATTTCGAGCGCTTTGAGGCCTATGGTGAAAAAGGAAATATCTTCTCATAAAAACCAGAAAGAAGCATTCTCAGAAACTTCTTTGTGTTGTGTGTACTCAAGTAACAGTGTTGAACCTTCCTTTTGACAGAGTAGTTTTGAAACACTCTTTTGGTAGAATCTGCAAGTGGATATTTGGATAGCTTTGAGGATTTCGTTGGAAACGGGTTATCTTCCTATAAAATCCAGACAGGAGCATTCTCAGAAACTTCTTTGTGCTGTATGTCCTCAATTCACAGAGCTGAACCTTTGTTTGGATACAGCATTTTGGAGACATTCCTTTAGTAGAATCTGCAAGTTGATATTTAGATAGCTTTGAAGATTTCGTTGGAAACGGGAATATCTTCATAGAAAATCTAGACGGAAGCATTCTCAGAAACTGCTTTGTGATGTTTGCATTCAAGTCACAGAGTTGAATATTCCCTTTTATAGAGTAGGTTTGAAACACTCTTTCGGCACTACCTGGAAGTGGATATTTCGAGCTCTTTGAGGCCTATGGTTAAAAGGAAATATCTTCCCATAAAAACTAGACAGAAGCCGTCTCAGAAACTTGTTTGTGATGTGTGTATTCAACTACCAGAGTTGAACATTTCTGTTACAGAGCAATTTTAAAACACTCTTTCTGTGGAATCTGAAAGTGGATAATTGGATAGCTTTGTGGATTTCGTTGGAAACGGGATGACGTATAAAATCTAGAGAGAAGCATTCTCAGGAACTTCTTTCTGATGTTTGCATTCAAGTCACAGAATTGAACATTCCTTTTCAGAGTGCAGGTTTGAAACACTCTTTCTGTAGTATCTGGAAGTGGACATTTCAAGCGCTTTCAGGCCTACGGGGAGAAAGGAAATATCTTCAAATAAAAACTAGACAGAAGGATTCTCAGAAACTTATTTGTGATGTGTGTCCTAAACGAACACAGTTGAACCTTTGTTTTGATACAGCATTTTGGAAACACTCCTTTTGTAGGATCTGCAGGTGGATATTTGGATAGATTTTAAGATTTCGTTGGAAACGGGAATTTCTGCATAGAAACTCAAGACAGATGCATTCTCAGAAACTTCTCTGTGATGTTTGCATTCCACTCATAGAGTTGAAAACTTCCTTTCATAGAGCAGGTTTGAAACACTCTTTTTGTAATATTTGGAAGTGGACATTTGCAGCGCTTTGAGGCCTATGGTGAAAAAGGAAATATCTTCTCATAAAAACCAGAAACAAGCATTCTCAGAAACTTCTTTTTGATGTGTGTACTCAAGTAACAGAGTTGAACCTTCCTTTTGACACAGCAGTTTTGAAACAATCTTTTTGTAGAATCTGCAAGTGGATATTTGGATAGCTTTGAGGATTTCGTTGGAAACGGGATATCTTCATATAAAATCTAGACAGAAGCATTCTCAGAAACTTCTTTGTGCTGTATGACCTCAATTAACAGAGTTGAACCATTGCTTGCATACAGCATTTTGGAAACATTCCTTGAGTAGAATCTGCAAGTTGATATTTAGATAGATTTGAAGATTTCGTTCGAAAACGGAATATCTCCATATAAAATCTAGAGGGAAGCATTCTCAGAAACTGCTTTGTGATGTTTCCTTTCAAGTCACAGAGTTGAATATTCCCTTTTATAGAGCACGTTTGAAACACTCTTTCTGCGCTATCTGGAAGTGGACATTTCGAGCGCTTTGAGGCCTATGGTGAAAAAGGAAATATCTTCCCATAAAAACTAGACAGAAGCATTCTCAGAAACTTGTTTGTGATGTGTGTATTCAACTAACAGAGTTGAACTTTTGTTTTTACAGAGCCGTTTTAAAACACTCTTTTTGTGGAATCAGAAAGTGGATATTCGGATGGCTCTGAGGATTTCGTTGGAAGCGGGATTACATATAAAATCTAGAGAGAAGCATTCTCAGGAACTTCTTTGTGATGTTTGCATTGAAGTCACAGAATTGAACATTCACTTTGATAGAGCAGGTTTGAAACACTCATTCTGTAGTATCTGGAAGTGGACATTTCAAGCGCTTTCAGGCCTATGGTGAGAAAGGAAATATCTTCGAATAAAAACTAGACAGAAGCATCCTCAAACTTATTTGTGATGTGTGTCCTCAACTAACAGAGTTGAAACTTTGTTTTGATACAGCATTTTGGAAACACTCTTTTTGTAGAATCTGCAGGTGGATATTTGGATAGCTTAGAGGGATTCGTTGGAAAGGGGATATCTTCATATAGAATCTAGACAGAAGCATTCTCAGAAACTTATTTGTGATGTGTGTCCTCAACTAACAGAGTTGAACTTTGGTTTTGATACAGCATTTTGGAAACACTCCTTTTGTAGAATCTGCAGGTGGATATGTGGATAGCTCTGAAGATTTCGTTGGAAACGGGAATTTCTTCATAGAAAATCAAACAGAAGCATTCTCAGAAACTTCTCAGTGATGTTTGCATTCAGTTCATGGAGTTGAACACTTCCTTTCATAGAGCCGGTTTGAAACACTCTTTCTGCACTACCTGGAAGAGGACATTTCGAGCGCTTTGAGTCTTATGGTGAAAAAGGAAATATCTTCTCATAGAAACCAGAAAGAAGCATTCTCAGAAACTTCTTTGTGTTGTGTGTACTCATGTAACAGTGTTGAACCATCCTTTTGACAGAGGAGTTTTGAAACACTCTTTTTGTAGAATCTGCAAGTGGATATTTGGATAGCTTTGAGGATTTCGTTGGAAACGGGATGACATATAATATCTAGAGAGAAGCATTCTCAGGAACTTCTTTGTGATGTTTGCATTCAAGTCACAGAATTGAACATTCCCTTTCATAGAGCAGGTTTGAAACACTCTTTCTCTAGTATCTGGAAGTGGGCATTTCAAGCGCTTTCAGGCCTATGGAGAGAAAGGAAATACCTTCAAATAAAAACTAGACAGAAGCATTCTCAGAAACTTATTTGTGATGTGTGTCCTCAACTAACAGAGTTGAACCTTTGTTTTGATACAGCATTTTGGAAACACTCCTTTTGTAGAATCTGCAGGTGGATATTTGGATAGCTTTGAAGATTTCGTTGGAAACCGGAATATCTTCATATAAAATCACGACAGAAGCATTCTCGGAAACATCTCTGTGATGTTTGCATTCAACTCAGTAGAGTTGAACACTTCCTTTCATAGAGCAGGTTTGAAACACTCTTTCTGCACTACCTGGAAGCGGACATTTCGAGCGCTTTGAGGCCTATGGTGAAAAAGGAAATATCTTCTCATAAAAACCAGAAAGAAGCATTCTCAGAAACTTCTTTGTGTTGTGTGTACTCAAGTAACAGTGTTGAACCTTCCTTTTGACAGAGCAGTTTTGAAACACTCTTTTGGTAGAATCTGCAAGTGGATATTTGGAGAGCTTTGAGGATTTCATTGGAAACGGGTTATCTTCATATAAAATCCAGACAGGAGCATTCTCAGAAACTTCTTTGTGCTGTATGTCCTCAATTCACAGAGCTGAACCTTTGTTTGGATACAGCATTTTGGAGACATTCCTTTAGTAGAATCTGCAAGTTGATATTTAGATAGCTTTGAAGATTTCGTTGGAAACGGGAATATCTTCATAGAAAATCTAGACGGAAGCATTCTCAGAAACTGCTTTGTGATGTTTGCATTCAAGTCACAGAGTTGAATATTCCCTTTTATAGAGTAGGTTTGAAACACTCTTTCGGCACTACCTGGAAGTGGATATTTCGAGCTCTTTGAGGCCTATGGTTAAAAGGAAATATCTTCCCATAAAAACTAGACAGAAGCCGTCTCAGAAACTTGTTTGTGATGTGTGTATTCAACTAACAGAGTTGAACATTTCTGTTACAGAGCAATTTTAAAACACTCTTTGTGGAATCTGAAAGTGGATAATTGGATAGCTTTGTGGATTTCGTTGGAAACGGGATGACGTATAAAATCTAGAGAGAAGCATTCTCAGGAACTTCTTTCTGATGTTTGCATTCAAGTCACAGAATTGAACATTCCTTTTCAGAGTGCAGGTTTGAAACACTCTTTCTGTAGTATCTGGAAGTGGACATTTCAAGCGCTTTCAGGCCTACGGGGAGAAAGGAAATATCTTCAAATAAAAACTAGACAGAAGGATTCTCAGAAACTTATTTGTGATGTGTGTCCTAAACGAACACAGTTGAACCTTTGTTTTGATACAGCATTTTGGAAACACTCCTTTTGTAGGATCTGCAGGTGGATATTTGGATAGATTTTAAGATTTCGTTGGAAACGGGAATTTCTTCATAGAAGCTCAAGACAGATGCATTCTCAGAAACTTCTCTGTGATGTTTGCATTCCACTCATAGAGTTGAAAACTTCCTTTCATAGAGCAGGTTTGAAACACTCTTTTTGTAATATTTGGAAGTGGACATTTGCAGCGCTTTGAGGCCTATGGTGAAAAAGGAAATATCTTCTCATAAAAACCAGAAACAAGCATTCTCAGAAACTTCTTTTTGATGTGTGTACTCAAGTAACAGAGTTGAACCTTCCTTTTGACACAGCAGTTTTGAAACAATCTTTTTGTAGAATCTGCAAGTGGATATTTGGATAGCTTTGAGGATTTCGTTGGAAACGGGATATCTTCATATAAAATCTAGACAGAAGCATTCTCAGAAACTTCTTTGTGCTGTATGACCTCAATTAACAGAGTTGAACCATTGCTTGCATACAGCATTTTGGAAACATTCCTTGAGTAGAATCTGCAAGTTGATATTTAGATAGATTTGAAGATTTCGTTCGAAAACGGAATATCTCCATATAAAATCTAGAGGGAAGCATTCTCAGAAACTGCTTTGTGATGTTTCCATTCAAGTCACAGAGTTGAATATTCCCTTTTATAGAGCACGTTTGAAACACTCTTTCTGCGCTATCTGGAAGTGGACATTTCGAGCGCTTTGAGGCCTATGGTGAAAAAGGAAATATCTTCCCATAAAAACTAGACAGAAGCATTCTCAGAAACTTGTTTGTGATGTGTGTATTCAACTAACAGAGTTGAACTTTTGTTTTTACAGAGCCGTTTTAAAACACTCTTTTTGTGGAATCAGAAAGTGGATATTCGGATGGCTCTGAGGATTTCGTTGGAAGTGGGATTACATATAAAATCTAGAGAGAAGCATTCTCAGGAACTTCTTTGTGATGTTTGCATTGAAGTCACAGAATTGAACATTCACTTTGATAGAGCAGGTTTGAAACACTCATTCTGTAGTATCTGGAAGTGGACATTTCAAGCGCTTTCAGGCCTATGGTGAGAAAGGAAATATCTTCGAATAAAAACTAGACAGAAGCATCCTCAAACTTATTTGTGATGTGTGTCCTCAACTAACAGAGTTGAAACTTTGTTTTGATACAGCATTTTGGAAACACTCTTTTTGTAGAATCTGCAGGTGGATATTTGGATAGCTTAGAGGGATTCGTTGGAAAGGGGATATCTTCATATAGAATCTAGACAGAAGCATTCTCAGAAACTTATTTGTGATGTGTGTCCTCAACTAACAGAGTTGAACTTTGGTTTTGATACAGCATTTTGGAAACACTCCTTTTGTAGAATCTGCAGGTGGATATGTGGATAGCTCTGAAGATTTCGTTGGAAACGGGAATTTCTTCATATAAAATCAAACAGAAGCATTCTCAGAAACTTCTCAGTGATGTTTGCATTCAGTTCATGGAGTTGAACACTTCCTTTCATAGAGCCGGTTTGAAACACTCTTTCTGCACTACCTGGAAGAGGACATTTCGAGCGCTTTGAGTCCTATGGTGAAAAAGGAAATATCTTCTCATAGAAACCAGAAAGAAGCATTCTCAGAAACTTCTTTGTGTTGTGTGTACTCATGTAACAGTGTTGAACCATCCTTTTGACAGAGCAGTTTTGAAACACTCTTTTTGTAGAATCTGCAAGTGGATATTTGGATAGCTTTGAGGATTTCGTTGGAAACGGGATGACATATAATATCTAGAGAGAAGCATTCTCAGGAACTTCTTTGTGATGTTTGCATTCAAGTCACAGAATTGAACATTCCCTTTCATAGAGCAGGTTTGAAACACTCTTTCTCTAGTATCTGGAAGTGGGCATTTCAAGCGCTTTCAGGCCTATGGAGAGAAAGGAAATACCTTCAAATAAAAACTAGACAGAAGCATTCTCAGAAACTTATTTGTGATGTGTGTCCTCAACTAACAGAGTTGAACCTTTGTTTTGATACAGCATTTTGGAAACACTCCTTTTGTAGAATCTGCAGGTGGATATTTGGATAGCTTTGAAGATTTCGTTGGAAACCGGAATATCTTCATATAAAATCAAGACAGAAGCATTCTCGGAAACATCTCTGTGATGTTTGCATTCAACTCAGTAGAGTTGAACACTTCCTTTCATAGAGCAGGTTTGAAACACTCTTTCTGCACTACCTGGAAGCGGACATTTCGAGCGCTTTGAGGCCTATGGTGAAAAAGGAAATATCTTCTCATAAAAACCAGAAAGAAGCATTCTCAGAAACTTCTTTGTGTTGTGTGTACTCAAGTAACAGTGTTGAACCTTCCTTTTGACAGAGCAGTTTTGAAACACTCTTTTGGTAGAATCTGCAAGTGGATATTTGGAGAGCTTTGAGGATTTCGTTGGAAACGGGTTATCTTCATATAAAATCCAGACAGGAGCATTCTCAGAAACTTCTTTGTGCTGTATGTCCTCAATTCACAGAGCTGAACCTTTGTTTGGATACAGCATTTTGGAGACATTCCTTTAGTAGAATCTGCAAGTTGATATTTAGATAGCTTTGAAGATTTCGATGGAAACGGGAATATCTTCATAGAAAATCTAGACGGAAGCATTCTCAGAAACTGCTTTGTGATGTTTGCATTCAAGTCACAGAGTTGAATATTCCCTTTTATAGAGTAGGTTTGAAACACTCTTTCGGCACTACCTGGAAGTGGATATTTCGAGCTCTTTGAGGCCTATGGTTAAAAGGAAATATCTTCCCATAAAAACTAGACAGAAGCCGTCTCAGAAACTTGTTTGTGATGTGTGTATTCAACTAACAGAGTTGAACATTTCTGTTACAGAGCAATTTTAAAACACTCTTTTTGTGGAATCTGAAAGTGGATAATTGGATAGCTTTGTGGATTTCGTTGGAAACGGGATGACGTATAAAATCTAGAGAGAAGCATTCTCAGGAACTTCTTTCTGATGTTTGCATTCAAGTCACAGAATTGAACATTCCTTTTCAGAGTGCAGGTTTGAAACACTCTTTCTGTAGTATCTGGAAGTGGACATTTCAAGCGCTTTCAGGCCTACGGGGAGAAAGGAAATATCTTCAAATAAAAACTAGACAGAAGGATTCTCAGAAACTTATTTGTGATGTGTGTCCTAAACGAACGCAGTTGAACCTTTGTTTTGATACAGCATTTTGGAAACACTCCTTTTGTAGGATCTGCAGGTGGATATTTGGATAGATTTTAAGATTTCGTTGGAAACGGGAATTTCTTCATAGAAGCTCAAGACAGATGCATTCTCAGAAACTTCTCTGTGATGTTTGCATTCCACTCATAGAGTTGAAAACTTCCTTTCATAGAGCAGGTTTGAAACACTCTTTTTGTAATATTTGGAAGTGGACATTTGCAGCGCTTTGAGGCCTATGGTGAAAAAGGAAATATCTTCTCATAAAAACCAGAAACAAGCATTCTCAGAAACTTCTTTTTGATGTGTGTACTCAAGTAACAGAGTTGAACCTTCCTTTTGACACAGCAGTTTTGAAACAATCTTTTTGTAGAATCTGCAAGTGGATATTTGGATAGCTTTGAGGATTTCGTTGGAAACGGGATATCTTCATATAAAATCTAGACAGAAGCATTCTCAGAAACTTCTTTGTGCTGTATGTCCTCAATTAACAGAGTTGAACCATTGCTTGGATACAGCATTTTGGAAACATTCCTTGAGTAGAATCTGCAAGTTGATATTTAGATAGATTTGAAGATTTCGTTGGAAAAGGGAATATCTCCATATAAAATCTAGAGGGAAGCATTCTCAGAAACTGCTTTGTGATGTTTCCATTCAAGTCACAGAGTTGAATATTCCCTTTTATAGAGCACGTTTGAAACACTCTTTCTGCACTATCTGGAAGCGGACATTTCGAGCGCTTTGAGGCCTATGGTGAAAAAGGAAATATCTTCCCATAAAAACTAGACAGAAGCATTCTCAGAAACTTGTTTGTGATGTGTGTATTCAACTAACAGAGTTGAACTTTTGTTTTTACAGAGCCGTTTTAAAACACTCTTTTTGTGGAATCAGAAAGTGGATATTCGGATGGCTCTGAGGATTTCGTTGGAAGCGGGATTACGTATAAAATCTAGAGAGAAGCATTCTCAGGAACTTCTTTGTGATGTTTGCATTGAAGTCACGGAATTGAACATTCACTTTTATAGAGCAGGTTTGAAACACTCATTCTGTAGTATCTGGAAGTGGACATTTCAAGCGCTTTCAGGCCTATGGTGAGAAAGGAAATATCTTCGAATAAAAACTAGACAGAAGCATCCTCAGAAACTTATTTGTGATGTGTGTCCTCAACTAACAGAGTTGAAACTTTGTTTTGATACAGCATTTTGGAAACACTCTTTTTGTAGAATCTGCAGGTGGATATTTTGATAGCTTAGAGGGATTCGTTGGAAAGGGGATATCTTCATATAAAATCTAGACAGAAGCATTCTCAGAAACTTATTTGTGATGTGTGTCCTCAACTAACAGAGTTGAACCTTTGTTTTGATACAGCATTTTGGAAACACTCCTTTTGTAGAATCTGCAGGTGGATATTTGGATAGCTTTGAAGATTTCGTTGGAAACCGGAATATCTTCATATAAAATCAAGACAGAAGCATTCTCGGAAACATCTCTGTGATGTTTGCATTCAACTCAGTAGAGTTGAACACTTCCTTTCATAGAGCAGGTTTGAAACACTCTTTCTGCACTACCTGGAAGCGGACATTTCGAGCGCTTTGAGGCCTATGGTGAAAAAGGAAATATCTTCTCATAAAAACCAGAAAGAAGCATTCTCAGAAACTTCTTTGTGTTGTGTGTACTCAAGTAACAGTGTTGATCCTTCCTTTTGACAGAGCAGTTTTGAAACACTCTTTTGGTAGAATCTGCAAGTGGATATTTGGAGAGCTTTGAGGAATTCGTTGGAAACGGGTTATCTTCCTATAAAATCCAGACAGGAGCATTCTCAGAAACTTCTTTGTGCTGTATGTCCTCAATTCACAGAGCTGAACCTTTGTTTGGATACAGCATTTTGGAGACATTCCTTTAGTAGAATCTGCAAGTTGATATTTAGATAGCTTTGAAGATTTCGTTGGAAACGGGAATATCTTCATAGAAAATCTAGACGGAAGCATTCTCAGAAACTGCTTTGTGATGTTTGCATTCAAGTCACAGAGTTGAATATTCCCTTTTATAGAGTAGGTTTGAAACACTCTTTCGGCACTACCTGGAAGTGGATATTTAGAGCTCTTTGAGGCCTATGGTTAAAAGGAAATATCTTCCCATAAAAACTAGACAGAAGCCGTCTCAGAAACTTGTTTGTGATGTGTGTATTCAACTACCAGAGTTGAACATTTCTGTTACAGAGCAATTTTAAAACACTCTTTCTGTGGAATCTGAAAGTGGATAATTGGATAGCTTTGTGGATTTCGTTGGAAACGGGATGACGTATAAAATCTAGAGAGAAGCATTCTCAGGAACTTCTTTCTGATGTTTGCATTCAAGTCACAGAATTGAACATTCCTTTTCAGAGTGCAGGTTTGAAACACTCTTTCTGTAGTATCTGGAAGTGGACATTTCAAGCGCTTTCAGGCCTACGGGGAGAAAGGAAATATCTTCAAATAAAAACTAGACAGAAGGATTCTCAGAAACTTATTTGTGATGTGTGTCCTAAACGAACACAGTTGAACCTTTGTTTTGATACAGCATTTTGGAAACACTCCTTTTGTAGGATCTGCAGGTGGATATTTGGATAGATTTTAAGATTTCGTTGGAAACGGGAATTTCTGCATATAAACTCAAGACAGATGCATTCTCAGAAACTTCTCTGTGATGTTTGCATTCCACTCATAGAGTTGAAAACTTCCTTTCATAGAGCAGGTTTGAAACACTCTTTTTGTAATATTTGGAAGTGGACATTTGCAGCGCTTTGAGGCCTATGGTGAAAAAGGAAATATCTTCTCATAAAAACCAGAAACAAGCATTCTCAGA
Source organism: Homo sapiens (assembly GCF_000001405.40). NCBI lineage: Eukaryota > Metazoa > Chordata > Mammalia > Primates > Hominidae > Homo > Homo sapiens. The sequence continues at coordinate 50,414,821 of NC_000004.12, forward strand.
AACTTCTTTTTGATGTGTGTACTCAAGTAACAGAGTTGAACCTTCCTTTTGACACAGCAGTTTTGAAACAATCTTTTTGTAGAATCTGCAAGTGGATATTTGGATAGCTTTGAGGATTTCGTTGGAAACGGGATATCTTCATATAAAATCTAGACAGAAGCATTCTCAGAAACTTCTTTGTGCTGTATGTCCTCAATTAACAGAGTTGAACCATTGCTTGGATACAGCATTTTGGAAACATTCCTTGAGTAGAATCTGCAAGTTGATATTTAGATAGATTTGAAGATTTCGTTGGAAACGGGAATATCTTCATATAAAATCTAGACGGAGGCATTCTCAGAAACTGCTTTGTGATGTTTCCATTCAAGTCACAGAGTTGAATATTCTCTTTTATACAGCACGTTTGAAACACTCTTTCTGCACTATCTGGAAGTGGACATTTCGAGCGCTTTGAGGCCTATGGTGAAAAAGGAAATATCTTCCCATAAAAACTAGACAGAAGCATTCTCAGAAACTTGTTTGTGATGTGTGTATTCAACTAACAGACTTGAACTTTTGTTTTTACAGAGCAGTTTTAAAACAATCTTTTTGTGGAATCAGAAAGTGGATATTCGGATGGCTTTGAGGATTTCGTTGGAAGAGGGATTACATATAAAATCTAGAGAGAAGCATTCTCAGGAACTTCTTTGTGATGTTTGCATTGAAGTCACAGAATTGAACATTCACTTTGATAGAGCAGGTTTGAAACACTCATTCTGTAGGATCTGGAAGTGGACATTTCAAGCGCTTTCAGGCCTATGGTGAGAAAGGAAATATCTTCGAATAAAAACTAGACAGAAGCATCCTCAAACTTATTTGTGATGTGTGTCCTCAACTAACAGAGTTGAAACTTTGTTTTCATACAGCATTTTGGAAACACTCTTTTTGTAGAATCTGCAGGTGGATATTTGGATAGCTTAGAGGGATTCGTTGGAAAGGGGATATCTTCATATAAAATCTAGACAGAAGCATTCTCAGAAACTTATTTGTGATGTGTGTCCTCAACTAACAGAGTTGAACCTTGGTTTTGATACAGCATTTTGGAAACACTCCTTTTGTAGAATCTGCATGTGGATATGTGGATAGCTCTGAAGATTTCGTTGGAAACGGGAATTTCTTCATATAAAATCAAACAGAAGCATTCTCAGAAACTTCTCAGTGATGTTTGCATTCAGCTCATGGAGTTGTACACTTCCTTTCATAGAGCAGGTTTGAAACACTCTTTCTGCACTACCTGGAAGAGGACATTTCGAGCGCTTTGAGTCCTATGGTGAAAAAGGAAATATCTTCTCATAGAAACCAGAAAGAAGCATTCTCAGAAACTTCTTTGTGTTGTGTGTACTCATGTAACAGTGTTGAACCATCCTTTTGACAGAGGAGTTTTGAAACACTCTTTTTGTAGAATCTGCAAGTGGATATTTGGATAGCTTTGAGGATTTCGTTGGAAACGGGATGACATATAATATCTAGAGAGAAGCATTCTCAGGAACTTCTTTGTGATGTTTGCATTCAAGTCACAGAATTGAACATTCCCTTTCATAGAGCAGGTTTGAAACACTCTTTCTCTAGTATCTGGAAGTGGGCATTTCAAGCGCTTTCAGGCCTATGGAGAGAAAGGAAATACCTTCAAATAAAAACTAGACAGAAGCATTCTCAGAAACTTATTTGTGATGTGTGTCCTCAACTAACAGAGTTGAACCTTTGTTTTGATACAGCATTTTGGAAACACTCCTTTTGTAGAATCTGCAGGTGGATATTTGGATAGCTTTGAAGATTTCGTTGGAAACCGGAATATCTTCATATAAAATCAAGACAGAAGCATTCTCGGAAACATCTCTGTGATGTTTGCATTCAACTCAGTAGAGTTGAACACTTCCTTTCATAGAGCAGGTTTGAAACACTCTTTCTGCACTACCTGGAAGTGGACATTTCGAGCGCTTTGAGGCCTATGGTGAAAAAGGAAATATCTTCTCATAAAAACCAGAAACAAGCATTCTCAGAAACTTCTTTGTGTTGTGTGTACTCAAGTAACAGTGTTGAACCTTCCTTTTGACAGAGCAGTTTTGAAACACTCTTTTGGTAGAATCTGCAAGTGGATATTTGGATAGCTTTGAGGATTTTGTTGGAAACGGGTTATCTTCATATAAAATCCAGACAGGAGCATTCTGAGAAACTTCTTTGTGCTGTATGTCCTCAATTCACAGAGTTGAACCTTTGTTTGGATACAGCATCTTGGAAACATTCCTTTAGTAGAATCTGCAAGTGGATATTTAGATAGCTTTGAAGATTTCGTTGGAAACGGGAATATCTTCATAAAAAATCTAGACGGAAGCATTGTCAGAAACTGCTTTGTGATGTTTGCATTCAAGTCACAGAGTTAAATAGTCTTTTACAGAGCAGGTTTGAAACACTCTTTCTGCACTACCTGGAAGTGGAGATTTCGAGCGCTTTGAGGCCTATGGTGAAAAAGGAAATATCTTCCCAGAAAAACTAGTCGGAAGCATTCTCAGAAACTTGTTTGTGATGTGTGTATTCAACTAACAGACTTGAACTTTTGTTTTTACAGAGCAGTTTTAAAACAATCTTTTTGTGGAATCAGAAAGTGGATATTCGGATGGCTTTGAGGATTTCGTTGGAAGCGGGATTACATATAAAATGTAGAGAGAAGCATTCTCAGGAACTTCTTTGTGATGTTTGCATTGAGGTCACAGAATTGAACATTCACTTTGATAGAGCAGGTTTGAAACACTCATTCTGTAGTATCTGGAAGTGGACATTTCAAGCGCTTTCAGGCCTATGGGGAGAAAGGAAATATCTTCAAATTAAAACTAGACAGAAGCATCCTCAGAAACTTATTTGTGATGTGTGTCCTCAACTAACAGAGTTGAAACTTTGTTTTGATACAGCATTTTGGAAACACTCTTTTTGTAGAATCTGCAGGTGGATACTTGGATAGCTTAGAGGGATTCGTTGGAAAGGGGATAAATTCATATAAAATCTAGACAGAAGCATTCTCAGAAACTTATTTGTGATGTGTGTCCTCAACTAACAGAGTTGAACCTTGGTTTTGATACAGCATTTTGGAAACACTCCTTTTGAAGAATCTGCAGGTGGATATGTGGATAGCTTTGAAGATTTCGTTGGAAACGGGAATTTCTTCATATAAAATCAAACAGAAGCATTCTCAGGAACTTCTCTGTGATGTTTGCATTCAGCTCATGGAGTTGAACACTTCCTTTCATAGAGCAGGTTTGAAACACTCTTTCTGCACTACCTGGAAGTGGACATTTCGAGCGCTTTGAGGCCTATGGTGAAAAAGGAAATATCCTCTCATAAAAACCAGAAAGAAGCGTTCTCAGAAACTTCTTTGGTGTTGTGTGTACTCATGTAACAGTGTTGAACCATCCTTTTGACAGAGCAGTTTTGAAACACTCTTTTTGTAGAATCTGCCAGTGGATATTTGGATAGCTTTGAGGATTTCGTTGGAAACGGGTTATCTTCATATTAAATCTAGACAGAAGCATTCTCAGAAACTTCTTTGTGCTGTATGTTCTCAATTCACAGAGTTGAACCTTTGTTTGGATACAGCATTTTGGAAACATTCCTTTAGTAGAATCTGCAAGTTGATATTTAGATAGCTTTGAAGATTTCGTTGGAAACGGGAATATCTTCATAAAAAATCTAGACGGAAGCATTCTCAGAAACTGCTTTGTGATGTTTGCATTCAAGTCACAGAGTTGAATATTCCCTTTTATAGAGTAGGTTTGAAACACTCTTTCGGCACTACCTGGAAGTGGATATTTCGAGCTCTTTGAGGCCTATGGTTAAAAGGAAATATCTTCCCATAAAAACTAGACAGAAGCCGTCTCAGAAACTTGTTTGTGATGTGTGTATTCAACTACCAGAGTTGAACATTTCTGTTACAGAGCAATTTTAAAACACTCTTTCTGTGGAATCTGAAAGTGGATAATTGGATAGCTTTGTGGATTTCGTTGGAAACGGGATGACGTATAAAATCTAGAGAGAAGCATTCTCAGGAACTTCTTTCTGATGTTTGCATTCAAGTCACAGAATTGAACATTCCTTTTCAGAGTGCAGGTTTGAAACACTCTTTCTGTAGTATCTGGAAGTGGACATTTCAAGCGCTTTCAGGCCTACGGGGAGAAAGGAAATATCTTCAAATAAAAACTAGACAGAAGGATTCTCAGAAACTTATTTGTGATGTGTGTCCTAAACGAACACAGTTGAACCTTTGTTTTGATACAGCATTTTGGAAACACTCCTTTTGTAGGATCTGCAGGTGGATATTTGGATAGATTTTAAGATTTCGTTGGAAACGGGAATTTCTGCATAGAAACTCAAGACAGATGCATTCTCAGAAACTTCTCTGTGATGTTTGCATTCCACTCATAGAGTTGAAAACTTTCCTTTCATAGAGCAGGTTTGAAACACTCTTTTTGTAATATTTGGAAGTGGACATTTGCAGCGCTTTGAGGCCTATGGTGAAAAAGGAAATATCTTCTCATAAAAACCAGAAACAAGCATTCTCAGAAACTTCTTTTTGATGTGTGTACTCAAGTAACAGAGTTGAACCTTCCTTTTGACACAGCAGTTTTGCAACAATCTTTTTGTAGAATCTGCAAGTGGATATTTGGATAGCTTTGAGGATTTCGTTGGAAACGGGATATCTTCATATAAAATCTAGACAGAAGCATTCTCAGAAACTTCTTTGTGCTGTATGTCCTCAATTAACAGAGTTGAACCATTGCTTGGATACAGCATTTTGGAAACATTCCTTTAGTAGAATCTGCAAGTTGATATTTAGATAGATTTGAAGATTTCGTTGGAAACGGGAATATCTTCATATAAAATCTAGACGGAGGCATTCTCAGAAACTGCTTTGTGATGTTTCCATTCAAGTCACAGAGTTGAATATTCTCTTTTATAGAGCACGTTTGAAACACTCTTTCTGCACTATCTGGAAGTGGACATTTCGAGCGCTTTGAGGCCTATGGTGAAAAAGGAAATATCTTCCCATAAAAACTAGACAGAAGCATTCTCAGAAACTTGTTTGTGATGTGTGTATTCAACTAACAGACTTGAACTTTTGTTTTTACAGAGCAGTTTTAAAACAATCTTTTTGTGGAATCAGAAAGTGGATATTCGGATGGCTTTGAGGATTTCGTTGGAAGCGGGATTACATATAAAATCTAGAGAGAAGCATTCTCAGGAACTACTTTGTGATGTTTGCATTGAAGTCACAGAATTGAACATTCACTTTGATAGAGCAGGTTTGAAACACTCATTCTGTAGTATCTGGAAGTGGACATTTCAAGCGCTTTCAGGCCTATGGGGAGAAAGGAAATATCTTCAAATTAAAACTAGACAGAAGCATCCTCAGAAACTTATTTGTGATGTGTGTCCTCAACTAACAGAGTTGAAACTTTGTTTTGATACAGCATTTTGGAAACACTCTTTTTGTAGAATCTGCAGGTGGATACTTGGATAGCTTAGAGGGATTCGTTGGAAAGGGGATAAATTCATATAAAATCTAGACAGAAGCATTTTCAGAAACTTATTTGTGATGTGTGTCCTCAACTAACAGAGTTGAACCTTGGTTTTGATACAGCATTTTGGAAACACTCCTTTTGAAGAATCTGCAGGTGGATATGTGGATAGCTTTGAAGATTTCGTTGGAAACGGGAATTTCTTCATATAGAATCAAACAGAAGCATTCTCAGAAACTTCTCTGTGATGTTTGCATTCAGCTCATGGAGTTGAACACTTCCTTTCATAGAGCAGGTTTGAAACACTCTTTCTGCACTACCAGGAAGTGGACATTTCGAGCACTTTGAGGCCTATGGTGAAAAAGGAAATATCTTCTCATAAAAACCAGAAAGAAGCGTTCTCAGAAACTTCTTTGTGTTGTGTGTACTCATGTAACAGTGTTGAACCATCCTTTGGACAGAGCAGTTTTGAAACACTCTTTTTGTAGAATCTGCAAGTGTATATTTGGATAGCTTTGAGGATTTCGTTGGAAACGGGTTATCTTCATATTAAATCTAGACAGAAGCATTCTCAGAAACTTCTTTGTGCTGTATGTCCTCAATTCACAGAGTTGAACCTTTGTTTGGATACAGCATTTTGGAAACATTCCTTTAGTAGAATCTGCAAGTTGATATTTAGATAGCTTTGAAGATTTCGTTGGAAACGGGAATATCTTCATAAAAAATCTAGACGGAAGCATTGTCAGAAACTGCTTTGTGATGTTTGCATTCAAGTCACAGAGTTAAATATTCTTTTACAGAGCAGGTTTGAAACACTCTTTCTGCACTCCCTGGAAGTGGAGATTTCGAGCGCTTTGAGGCCTATGGTGAAAAAGGAAATATCTTCCCATAAAAACTAGACGGAAGCCTTCTCAGAAACTTGTTTGAGATGTGTGTATTCAACTAAGAGCGTTGAACATTTCTTTTTACAGAGCAGTTTTAAAACACTCTTTTGTGGAATCTGAAAGTGGATAATTGGATAGCTTTGTGGATTTCGTTGGAAACGGGATGACGTATAAAATCTAGAGAGAAGCATTCTCAGGAACTTCTTTCTGATGTTTGCATTCAAGTCACAGAATTGAACATTCCTTTTCATAGTGCAGGTTTGAAACACTCTTTCTGTAGTATCTGGAAGTGGACATTTCAAGCGCTTTCAGGCCTATGGGGAGAAAGGAAATATCTTCTCATTAAAACCAGAAACAAGGATTCTCAGAAACTTATTTGTGATGTGTGTCCTAAACGAACACAGTTGAACCATTGTTTTGATACAGCATTTTGGAAACACTCCTTTTGTAGAATCTGCAGGTGGATATTTGGATAGATTTTAAGATTTCGTTGGAAACGGGAATTTCTTCACATAAACTCAAGACAGATGCATTCTCAGAAACTTCTCTGTGATGTTTGCATTCCACTCACAGAGTTGAAAACTTCCTTTCATAGAGCAGGTTTGAAACACTCTTTTTGTAATATTTGGAAGTGGACATTTGCAGCGCTTTGAGGCCTATGGTGAAAAAGGAAATATCTTCTCATAAAAACCAGAAACAAGCATTCTCAGAAACTGCTTTTTGTTGTGTGTACTCAAGTAACAGAGTTGAACCTTCCTTTTGACACAGCAGTTTTGAAACAATCTTTTTGTAGAATCTGCAAGTGGATATTTGGATAGTTTTGAGGATTTCGTTGGAAACGGGATATCTTCATATAAAATCTAGACAGAAGCATTCTCAGAAACTTCTTTGTGCTGTATGTCCTCAATTAACAGAGTTGAACCATTGCTTGGATACAGCATTTTGGAAACATTCCTTTAGTAGAATCTGCAAGTTGATATTTAGATAGATTTGAAGATTTCGTTGGAAACGGGAATATCTTCATATAAAATCTAGACGGAGGCATTCTCAGAAACTGCTCTGTGATGTTTCCATTCAAGTCACAGAGTTGAATATTCTCTTTTATAGAGCACGTTTGAAACACTCTTTCGGCACTATCTGGAAGTGGACATTTCGAGCGCTTTGAGGCCTATGGTGAAAAAGGAAATATCTTCCCATAAAAACTAGACAGAAGCATTCTCAGAAACTTGTTTGTGATGTGTGTATTCAACTAACAGAGTTGAACTTTTGTTTTTACAGAGCCGTTTTAAAACACTCTTTTTGTGGAATCAGAAAGTGGATATTCGGATGGCTCTGAGGATTTCGTTGGAAGCGGGATTACGTATAAAATCTAGAGAGAAGCATTCTCAGGAACTTCTTTGTGATGTTTGCATTGAAGTCACAGAATGGAACATTCACTTTGATAGAGCAGGTTTGAAACACTCATTCTGTAGTATCTGGAAGTGGACATTTCAAGCGCTTTCAGGCCTATGGTGAGAAAGGAAATATCTTCGAATAAAAACTAGACAGAAGCATCCTCAAACTTATTTGTGATGTGTGTCCTCAACTAACAGAGTTGAAACTTTGTTTTGATACAGCATTTTGGAAACACTCTTTTTGTAGAATCTGCAGGTGGATATTTGGATAGCTTAGAGGGATTCGTTGGAAAGGGGATATCTTCATATAAAATCTAGACAGAAGCATTCTCAGAAACTTATTTGTGATGTGTGTCCTCAACTAACAGAGTTGAACCTTGGTTTTGATACAGCATTTTGGAAACACTCCTTTTGTAGAATCTGCAGGTGGATATGTGGATAGCTCTGAAGATTTCGTTGGAAACGGGAATTTCTTCATATAAAATCAAACAGAAGCATTCTCAGAAACTTCTCAGTGATGTTTGCATTCAGCTCATGGAGTTGTACACTTCCTTTCATAGAGCAGGTTTGAAACACTCTTTCTGCACTACCTGGAAGAGGACATTTCGAGCGCTTTGAGTCCTATGGTGAAAAAGGAAATATCTTCTCATAGAAACCAGAAAGAAGCATTCTCAGAAACTTCTTTGTGTTGTGTGTACTCATGTAACAGTGTTGAACCATCCTTTTGACAGAGGAGTTTTGAAACACTCTTTTTGTAGAATCTGCAAGTGGATATTTGGATAGCTTTGAGGATTTCGTTGGAAACGGGATGACATATAATATCTAGAGAGAAGCATTCTCAGGAACTTCTTTGTGATGTTTGCATTCAAGTCACAGAATTGAACATTCCCTTTCATAGAGCAGGTTTGAAACACTCTTTCTCTAGTATCTGGAAGTGGGCATTTCAAGCGCTTTCAGGCCTATGGAGAGAAAGGAAATACCTTCAAATAAAAACTAGACAGAAGCATTCTCAGAAACTTATTTGTGATGTGTGTCCTCAACTAACAGAGTTGAACCTTTGTTTTGATACAGCATTTTGGAAACACTCCTTTTGTAGAATCTGCAGGTGGATATTTGGATAGCTTTGAAGATTTCGTTGGAAACCGGAATATCTTCATATAAAATCAAGACAGAAGCATTCTCGGAAACATCTCTGTGATGTTTGCATTCAACTCAGTAGAGTTGAACACTTCCTTTCATAGAGCAGGTTTGAAACACTCTTTCTGCACTACCTGGAAGCGGACATTTCGAGCGCTTTGAGGCCTATGGTGAAAAAGGAAATATCTTCTCATAAAAACCAGAAAGAAGCATTCTCAGAAACTTCTTTGTGTTGTGTGTACTCAAGTAACAGTGTTGAACCTTCCTTTTGACAGAGCAGTTTTGAAACACTCTTTTGGTAGAATCTGCAAGTGGATATTTGGATAGCTTTGAGGATTTCGTTGGAAACTGGTTATCTTCATATAAAATCCAGACAGGAGCATTCTCAGAATCTTCTTTGTGCTGTATGTCCTCAATTCACAGAGCTGAACCTTTGTTTGGATACAGCATTTTGGAGACATTCCTTTAGTAGAATCTGCAAGTTGATATTTAGATAGCTTTGAAGATTTCGTTGGAAACGGGAATATCTTCATAGAAAATCTAGACGGAAGCATTCTCAGAAACTGCTTTGTGATGTTTGCATTCAAGTCACAGAGTTGAATATTCCCTTTTATAGAGTAGGTTTGAAACACTCTTTCGGCACTACCTGGAAGTGGATATTTCGAGCTCTTTGAGGCCTATGGTTAAAAGGAAATATCTTCCCATAAAAACTAGACAGAAGCCGTCTCAGAAACTTGTTTGTGATGTGTGTATTCAACTAACAGAGTTGAACATTTCTGTTACAGAGCAATTTAAAACACTCTTTTTGTGGAATCTGAAAGTGGATAATTGGATAGCTTTGTGGATTTCGTTGGAAACGGGATGACGTATAAAATCTAGAGAGAAGCATTCTCAGGAACTTCTTTCTGATGTTTGCATTCAAGTCACAGAATTGAACATTCCTTTTCAGAGTGCAGGTTTGAAACACTCTTTCTGTAGTATCTGGAAGTGGACATTTCAAGCGCTTTCAGGCCTACGGGGAGAAAGGAAATATCTTCAAATAAAAACTAGACAGAAGGATTCTCAGAAACTTATTTGTGATGTGTGTCCTAAACGAACACAGTTGAACCTTTGTTTTGATACAGCATTTTGGAAACACTCCTTTTGTAGGATCTGCAGGTGGATATTTGGATAGATTTTAAGATTTCGTTGGAAACGGGAATTTCTTCATAGAAGCTCAAGACAGATGCATTCTCAGAAACTTCTCTGTGATGTTTGCATTCCACTCATAGAGTTGAAAACTTCCTTTCATAGAGCAGGTTTGAAACACTCTTTTTGTAATATTTGGAAGTGGACATTTGCAGCGCTTTGAGGCCTATGGTGAAAAAGGAAATATCTTCTCATAAAAACCAGAAACAAGCATTCTCAGAAACTTCTTTTTGATGTGTGTACTCAAGTAACAGAGTTGAACCTTCCTTTTGACACAGCAGTTTTGAAACAATCTTTTTGTAGAATCTGCAAGTGGATATTTGGATAGCTTTGAGGATTTCGTTGGAAACGGGATATCTTCATATAAAATCTAGACAGAAGCATTCTCAGAAACTTCTTTGTGCTGTATGTCCTCAATTAACAGAGTTGAACCATTGCTTGGATACAGCATTTTGGAAACATTCCTTGAGTAGAATCTGCAAGTTGATATTTAGATAGATTTGAAGATTTCGTTGGAAAAGGGAATATCTCCATATAAAATCTAGAGGGAAGCATTCTCAGAAACTGCTTTGTGATGTTTCCATTCAAGTCACAGAGTTGAATATTCCCTTTTATAGAGCACGTTTGAAACACTCTTTCTGCACTATCTGGAAGCGGACATTTCGAGCGCTTTGAGGCCTATGGTGAAAAAGGAAATATCTTCCCATAAAAACTAGACAGAAGCATTCTCAGAAACTTGTTTGTGATGTGTGTATTCAACTAACAGAGTTGAACTTTTGTTTTTACAGAGCCGTTTTAAAACACTCTTTTTGTGGAATCAGAAAGTGGATATTCGGATGGCTCTGAGGATTTCGTTGGAAGCGGGATTACGTATAAAATCTAGAGAGAAGCATTCTCAGGAACTTCTTTGTGATGTTTGCATTCAAGTCACAGAATTGAACATTCCCTTTCATAGAGCAGGTTTGAAACACTCTTTCTCTAGTATCTGGAAGTGGGCATTTCAAGCGCTTTCAGGCCTATGGAGAGAAAGGAAATACCTTCAAATAAAAACTAGACAGAAGCATTCTCAGAAACTTATTTGTGATGTGTGTCCTCAACTAACAGAGTTGAACCTTTGTTTTGATACAGCATTTTGGAAACACTCCTTTTGTAGAATCTGCAGGTGGATATTTGGATAGCTTTGAAGATTTCGTTGGAAACCGGAATATCTTCATATAAAATCAAGACAGAAGCATTCTCGGAAACATCTCTGTGATGTTTGCATTCAACTCAGTAGAGTTGAACACTTCCTTTCATAGAGCAGGTTTGAAACACTCTTTCTGCACTACCTGGAAGCGGACATTTCGAGCGCTTTGAGGCCTATGGTGAAAAAGGAAATATCTTCTCATAAAAACCAGAAAGAAGCATTCTCAGAAACTTCTTTGTGTTGTGTGTACTCAAGTAACAGTGTTGAACCTTCCTTTTGACAGAGCAGTTTTGAAACACTCTTTTGGTAGAATCTGCAAGTGGATATTTGGAGAGCTTTGAGGATTTCGTTGGAAACGGGTTATCTTCATATAAAATCCAGACAGGAGCATTCTCAGAAACTTCTTTGTGCTGTATGTCCTCAATTCACAGAGCTGAACCTTTGTTTGGATACAGCATTTTGGAGACATTCCTTTAGTAGAATCTGCAAGTTGATATTTAGATAGCTTTGAAGATTTCGTTGGAAACGGGAATATCTTCATAGAAAATCTAGACGGAAGCATTCTCAGAAACTGCTTTGTGATGTTTGCATTCAAGTCACAGAGTTGAATATTCCCTTTTATAGAGTAGGTTTGAAACACTCTTTCGGCACTACCTGGAAGTGGATATTTCGAGCTCTTTGAGGCCTATGGTTAAAAGGAAATATCTTCCCATAAAAACTAGACAGAAGCCGTCTCAGAAACTTGTTTGTGATGTGTGTATTCAACTAACAGAGTTGAACATTTCTGTTACAGAGCAATTTTAAAACACTCTTTGTGGAATCTGAAAGTGGATAATTGGATAGCTTTGTGGATTTCGTTGGAAGCGGGATGACGTATAAAATCTAGAGAGAAGCATTCTCAGGAACTTCTTTCTGATGTTTGCATTCAAGTCACAGAATTGAACATTCCTTTTCATAGTGCAGGTTTGAAACACTCTGTAGTATCTGGAAGTGGACATTTCAAGCGCTTTCAAGCCTATGGGGAGAAAGGAAATATCTTGAAATAAAAAGTAGACAGAAGGATTCTCAGAAACTTATTGGTGATGTGTGTCCTAAACGAACACAGTTGAACCTTTGTTTTGATACAGCATTTTGGAAACACTCCCTTTGTAGAATCTGCAGGTGGATATTTGGATAGATTTTAAGATTTCCGTTGGAAACGGGAATTTCTTCATATAAACTCAAGACAGATGCATTCTCAGAAACTTCTCTGTGATGTTTGCATTCCACTCATAGAGTTGAAAACTTCCTTTCATAGAGCAGGTTTGAAACACTCTTTTTGTAATATTTGGAAGTGGACATTTGCAGCGCTTTGAGGCCTATGGTGAAAAAGGAAATATCTTCTCATAAAAACCAGAAACAAGCATTCTCAGAAACTTCTTTTTGATGTGTGTACTCAAGTAACAGAGTTGAACCTTCCTTTTGACACAGCAGTTTTGAAACAATCTTTTTGTAGAATCTGCAAGTGGATATTTGGATAGCTTTGAGGATTTCGTTGGAAACGGGATATCTTCATATAAAATCTAGACAGAAGCATTCTCAGAAACTTCTTTGTGCTGTATGACCTCAATTAACAGAGTTGAACCATTGCTTGCATACAGCATTTTGGAAACATTCCTTGAGTAGAATCTGCAAGTTGATATTTAGATAGATTTGAAGATTTCGTTCGAAAACGGAATATCTCCATATAAAATCTAGAGGGAAGCATTCTCAGAAACTGCTTTGTGATGTTTCCATTCAAGTCACAGAGTTGAATATTCCCTTTTATAGAGCACGTTTGAAACACTCTTTCTGCACTATCTGGAAGTGGACATTTCGAGCGCTTTGAGGCCTATGGTGAAAAAGGAAATATCTTCCCATAAAAACTAGACAGAAGCATTCTCAGAAACTTGTTTGTGATGTGTGTATTCAACTAACAGAGTTGAACTTTTGTTTTTACAGAGCCGTTTTAAAACACTCTTTTTGTGGAATCAGAAAGTGGATATTCGGATGGCTCTGAGGATTTCGTTGGAAGCGGGATTACATATAAAATCTAGAGAGAAGCATTCTCAGGAACTTCTTTGTGATGTTTGCATTGAAGTCACAGAATTGAACATTCACTTTGATAGAGCAGGTTTGAAACACTCATTCTGTAGGATCTGGAAGTGGACATTTCAAGCGCTTTCAGGCCTATGGTGAGAAAGGAAATATCTTCAAATAAAAACTAGACAGAGGCATCCTCAGAAACTTATTTGTGATGTGTGTCCTCAACTAACAGAGTTGAAACTTTGTTTTGATACAGCATTTTGTAAACACTCTTTTTGTAGAATCTGCAGGTGGATATTTGGATAGCTTAGAGGGATTCGTTGGAAAGGGGATATCTTCATATAAAATCTAGACAGAAGCATTCTCAGAAACTTATTTGTGATGTGTGTCCTCAACTAACAGAGTTGAACCTTGGTTTTGATACAGCATTTTGGAAACACTCCTTTTGAAGAATCTGCAGGTGGATATGTGGATAGCTTTGAAGATTTCGTTGGAAACGGGAATTTCTTCATATAAAATCAAACAGAAGCATTCTCAGGAACTTCTCTGTGATGTTTGCATTCAGCTCATGGAGTTGAACACTTCCTTTCATAGAGCAGGTTTGAAACACTCTTTCTGCACTACCTGGAAGTGGACATTTCGAGCGCTTTGAGGCCTATGGTGAAAAAGGAAATATCCTCTCATAAAAACCAGAAAGAAGCGTTCTCAGAAACTTCTTTGTGTTGTGTGTACTCATGTAACAGTGTTGAACCATCCTTTTGACAGAGCAGTTTTGAAACACTCTTTTTGTAGAATCTGCCAGTGGATATTTGGATAGCTTTGAGGATTTCGTTGGAAACGGGTTATCTTCATATTAAATCTAGACAGAAGCATTCTCAGAAACTTCTTTGTGCTGTATGTCCTCAATTCACAGAGTTGAACCTTTGTTTGGATACAGCATTTTGGAAACATTCCTTTAGTAGAATCTGCAAGTTGATATTTAGATAGCTTTGAAGATTTCGTTGGAAACGGGAATATCTTCATAAAAAATCTAGACGGAAGCATTGTCAGAAACTGCTCTGTGATGTTTGCATTCAAGTCACAGAGTTAAATATTCTTTTATAGAGCAGGTTTGAAACACTCTTTCTAAACTCCCTGGAAGTGGAGATTTCGAGCGCTTTGAGGCCTATGGTGAAAAAGGAAATATCTTCCCATAAAAACTAGACGGAAGCCTTCTCAGAAACTTGTTTGAGATGTGTGTATTCAACTAAGAGCGTTGAACATTTCTTTTTACAGAGCAGTTTTAAAACAGTCTTTTGGTGGAATCTGAAAGTGGATAATTGGATAGCTTTGTGGATTTCGTTGGAAACGGGATTACGTTTAAAATCTAGAGAGAAGCATTCTCAGGAACTTCTTTCTGATGTTTGCATTCAAGTCACAGAATTGAACATTCCTTTTCATAGTGCAGGTTTGAAACACTCTGTAGTATCTGGAAGTGGACATTTCAAGCGCTTTCAAGCCTGTGGGGAGAAAGGAAATATCTTGAAATAAAAACTAGACAGAAGGATTCTCAGAAACTTATTTGTGATGTGTGTCCTAAACGAACACAGTTGAACCTTTGTTTTGATACAGCATTTTGGAAACACTCCTTTTGTAGAATCTGCAGGTGGATATTTGGATAGATTTTAAGATTTCATTGGAAACGGGAATTTCTTCATATAAACTCAAGACAGATGCATTCTCAGAAACTTCTCTGTGATGTTTGCATTCCACTCACAGAGTTGAAAACTTCCTTTCATAGAGCAGGTTTGAAACACTCTTTTTGTAATATTTGGAAGTGGACATTTGCAGCGCTTTGAGGCCTATGGTGAAAAAGGAAATATCTTCTCATAAAAACCAGAAACAAGCATTCTCAGAAACTGCTTTTTGATGTGTGTACTCAAGTAACAGAGTTGAACCTTCCTTTTGACACAGCAGTTTTGAAACAATCTTTTTGTAGAATCTGCAAGTGGATATTTGGATAGCTTTGAGGATTTCGTTGGAAACGGGATATCTTCATATAAAATCTAGACAGAAGCATTCTCAGAAACTTCTTTGTGCTGTATGTCCTCAATTAACAGAGTTGAACCATTGCTTGGATACAGCATTTTGGAAACATTCCTTTAGTAGAATCTGCAAGTTGATATTTAGATAGCTTTGAAGATTTCGTTGGAAACGGGAATATCTTCATATAAAATCTAGACGGAGGCATTCTCAGAAACTGCTTTGTGATGTTTCCATTCAAGTCACAGAGTTGAATATTCTCTTTTATAGAGCACGTTTGAAACACTCTTTCTGCACTATCTGGAAGTGGACATTTCGAGCGCTTTGAGGCCTATGGTGAAAAAGGAAATATCTTCCCATAAAAACTAGACAGAAGCATTCTCAGAAACTTGTTTGTGATGTGTGTATTCAACTAACAGACTTGAACTTTTGTTTTTACAGAGCAGTTTTAAAACAATCTTTTTGTGGAATCAGAAAGTGGATATTCGGATGGCTTTGAGGATTTCGTTGGAAGCGGGATTACATATAAAATCTAGAGAGAAGCATTCTCAGGAACTACTTTGTGATGTTTGCATTGAAGTCACAGAATTGAACATTCACTTTGATAGAGCAGGTTTGAAACACTCATTCTGTAGTATCTGGAAGTGGACATTTCAAGTGCTTTCAGGCCTATGGGGAGAAAGGAAATATCTTCAAATTAAAACTAGACAGAAGCATCCTCAGAAACTTATTTGTGATGTGTGTCCTCAACTAACAGAGTTGAAACTTTGTTTTGATACAGCATTTTGGAAACACTCTTTTTGTAGAATCTGCAGGTGGATACTTGGATAGCTTAGAGGGATTCGTTGGAAAGGGGATAAATTCATATAAAATCTAGACAGAAGCATTCTCAGAAACTTATTTGTGATGTGTGTCCTCAACTAACAGAGTTGAACCTTGGTTTTGATACAGCATTTTGGAAACACTCCTTTTGAAGAATCTGCAGGTGGATATGTGGATAGCTTTGAAGATTTCGTTGGAAACGGGAATTTCTTCATATAAAATCAAACAGAAGCATTCTCAGGAACTTCTCTGTGATGTTTGCATTCAGCTCATGGAGTTGAACACTTCCTTTCATAGAGCAGGTTTGAAACACTCTTTCTGCACTACCTGGAAGTGGACATTTCGAGCGCTTTGAGGCCTATGGTGAAAAAGGAAATATCCTCTCATAAAAACCAGAAAGAAGCGTTCTCAGAAACTTCTTTGTGTTGTGTGTACTCATGTAACAGTGTTGAACCATCCTTTTGACAGAGCAGTTTGAAACACTCTTTTTGTAGAATCTGCAAGTGGATATTTGGATAGCTTTGAGGATTTCGTTGGAAACGGGTTATCTTCATATTAAATCTAGACAGAAGCATTCTCAGAAACTTCTTTGTGCTGTATGTCCTCAATTCACAGAGTTGAACCTTTGTTTGGATACAGCATTTTGGAAACATTCCTTTAGTAGAATCTGCAAGTTGATATTTAGATAGCTTTGAAGATTTCGTTGGAAACGGGAATATCTTCATAAAAAATCTAGACGGAAGCATTGTCAGAAACTGCTTTGTGATGTTTGCATTGAAGTCACAGAGTTAAATATTCTTTTACAGAGCAGGTTTGAAACACTCTTTCTGCACTCCCTGGAAGTGGAGATTTCGAGCGCTTTGAGGCCTATGGTGAAAAAGGAAATATCTTCCCATAAAAACTAGACGGAAGCCTTCTCAGAAACTTGTTTGAGATGTGTGTATTCAACTAAGAGCGTTGAACATTTCTTTTTACAGAGCAGTTTTAAAACACTCTTTTGTGGAATCTGAAAGTGGATAATTGGATAGCTTTGTGGATTTCGTTGGAAACGGGATGACGTATAAAATCTAGAGAGAAGCATTCTCAGAAACTTCTTTCTGATGTTTGCATTCAAGTCACAGAATTGAACATTCCTTTTCATAGTGCAGGTTTGAAACACTCTTTCTGTACTATCTGGAAGTGGACATTTCAAGCGCTTTCAGGCCTATGGGGAGAAAGGAAATATCTTCAAATAAAAACTAGACTGAAGGATTCTCAGAAACTTATTGGTGATGTGTGTCCTAAACGAACACAGTTGAACCTTTGTTTTGATACAGCATTTTGGAAACACTCCCTTTGTAGAATCTGCAGGTGGATATTTGGATAGATTTTAAGATTTCGTTGGAAACGGGAATTTCTTCATATAAACTCAAGACAGATGCATTCTCCGAAACTTCTCTGTTATGTTTCCATTCCACTCATAGAGTTGAAAACTTCCTTTCATAGAGCAGGTTTGAAACACTCTTTTTGTAATATTTGGAAGTGGACATTTGCAGCGCTTTGAGGCCTATGGTGAAAAAGGAAATATCTTCTCATAAAAACCAGAAACAAGCATTCTCAGAAACTTCTTTTTGATGTGTGTACTCAAGTAACAGAGTTGAACCTTCCTCTTGACACAGCAGTTTTGAAACAATCTTTTTGTAGAATCTGCAAGTGGATATTTGGATAGCTTTGAGGATTTCGTTGGAAACGGGATATCTTCATATAAAAATCTAGACAGAAGCATTCTCAGAAACTTCTTTGTGCTGTATGACCTCAATTAACAGAGTTGAACCATTGCTTGCATACAGCATTTTGGAAACATTCCTTGAGTAGAATCTGCAAGTTGATATTTAGATAGATTTGAAGATTTCGTTCGAAAACGGAATATCTCCATATAAAATCTAGAGGGAAGCATTCTCAGAAACTGCTTTGTGATGTTTCCATTCAAGTCAGAGTTGAATATTCCCTTTTATAGAGCACGTTTGAAACACTCTTTCTGCACTATCTGGAAGTGGACATTTCGAGCGCTTTGAGGCCTATGGTGAAAAAGGAAATATCTTCCCATAAAAACTAGACAGAAGCATTCTCAGAAACTTGTTTGTGATGTGTGTATTCAACTAACAGAGTTGAACTTTTGTTTTTACAGAGCCGTTTTAAAACACTCTTTTTGTGGAATCAGAAAGTGGATATTCGGATGGCTCTGAGGATTTCGTTGGAAGCGGGATTACATATAAAATCTAGAGAGAAGCATTCTCAGGAACTTCTTTGTGATGTTTGCATTGAAGTCACAGAATTGAACATTCACTTTGATAGAGCAGGTTTGAAACACTCATTCTGTAGTATCTGGAAGTGGACATTTCAAGCGCTTTCAGGCCTATGGTGAGAAAGGAAATATCTTCGAATAAAAACTAGACAGAAGCATCCTCAAACTTATTTGTGATGTGTGTCCTCAACTAACAGAGTTGAAACTTTGTTTTGATACAGCATTTTGGAAACACTCTTTTTGTAGAATCTGCAGGTGGATATTTGGATAGCTTAGAGGGATTCGTTGGAAAGGGGATATCTTCATATAGAATCTAGACAGAAGCATTCTCAGAAACTTATTTGTGATGTGTGTCCTCAACTAACAGAGTTGAACTTTGGTTTTGATACAGCATTTTGGAAACACTCCTTTTGTAGAATCTGCAGGTGGATATGTGGATAGCTCTGAAGATTTCGTTGGAAACGGGAATTTCTTCATATAAAATCAAACAGAAGCATTCTCAGAAACTTCTCAGTGATGTTTGCATTCAGTTCATGGAGTTGAACACTTCCCTTCATAGAGCCGGTTTGAAACACTCTTTCTGCACTACCTGGAAGAGGACATTTCGAGCGCTTTGAGTCCTATGGTGAAAAAGGAAATATGCTTCTCATATAAACCAGAAAGAAGCATTCTCAGAAACTTCTTTGTGTTGTGTGTACTCAAGTAACAGTGTTGAACCTTCCTTTTGACAGAGTAGTTTTGAAACACTCTTTTGGTAGAATCTGCAAGTGGATATTTGGATAGCTTTGAGGATTTCGTTGGAAACGGGTTATCTTCCTATAAAATCCAGACAGGAGCATTCTCAGAAACTTCTTTGTGCTGTATGTCCTCAATTCACAGAGCTGAACCTTTGTTTGGATACAGCATTTTGGAGACATTCCTTTAGTAGAATCTGCAAGTTGATATTTAGATAGCTTTGAAGATTTCGTTGGAAACGGGAATATCTTCATAGAAAATCTAGACGGAAGCATTCTCAGAAACTGCTTTGTGATGTTTGCATTCAAGTCACAGAGTTGAATATTCCCTTTTATAGAGTAGGTTTGAAACACTCTTTCGGCACTACCTGGAAGTGGATATTTCGAGCTCTTTGAGGCCTATGGTTAAAAGGAAATATCTTCCCATAAAAACTAGACAGAAGCCGTCTCAGAAACTTGTTTGTGATGTGTGTATTCAACTAACAGAGTTGAACATTTCTGTTACAGAGCAATTTTAAAACACTCTTTCTGTGGAATCTGAAAGTGGATAATTGGATAGCTTTGTGGATTTCGTTGGAAACGGGATGACGTATAAAATCTAGAGAGAAGCATTCTCAGGAACTTCTTTCTGATGTTTGCATTCAAGTCACAGAATTGAACATTCCTTTTCAGAGTGCAGGTTTGAAACACTCTTTCTGTAGTATCTGGAAGTGGACATTTCAAGCGCTTTCAGGCCTACGGGGAGAAAGGAAATATCTTCAAATAAAAACTAGACAGAAGGATTCTCAGAAACTTATTTGTGATGTGTGTCCTAAACGAACACAGTTGAACCTTTGTTTTGATACAGCATTTTGGAAACACTCCTTTTGTAGGATCTGCAGGTGGATATTTGGATAGATTTTAAGATTTCGTTGGAAACGGGAATTTCTGCATATAAACTCAAGACAGATGCATTCTCAGAAACTTCTCTGTGATGTTTGCATTCCACTCATAGAGTTGAAAACTTCCTTTCATAGAGCAGGTTTGAAACACTCTTTTTGTAATATTTGGAAGTGGACATTTGCAGCGCTTTGAGGCCTATGGTGAAAAAGGAAATATCTTCTCATAAAAACCAGAAACAAGCATTCTCAGAAACTTCTTTTTGATGTGTGTACTCAAGTAACAGAGTTGAACCTTCCTCTTGACACAGCAGTTTTGAAACAATCTTTTTGTAGAATCTGCAAGTGGATATTTGGATAGCTTTGAGGATTTCATTGGAAACGGGATATCTTCATATAAAATCTAGACAGAAGCATTCTCAGAAACTTCTTTGTGCTGTATGTCCTCAATTAACAGAGTTGAACCATTGCTTGGATACAGCATTTTGGAAACATTCCTTGAGTAGAATCTGCAAGTTGATATTTAGATAGATTTGAAGATTTCGTTGGAAAAGGGAATATCTCCATATAAAATCTAGAGGGAAGCATTCTCAGAAACTGCTTTGTGATGTTTCCATTCAAGTCACAGAGTTGAATATTCCCTTTTATAGAGCACGTTTGAAACACTCTTTCTGCACTATCTGGAAGTGGACATTTCGAGCGCTTTGAGGCCTATGGTGAAAAAGGAAATATCTTCCCATAAAAACTAGACAGAAGCATTCTCAGAAACTTGTTTGTGATGTGTGTATTCAACTAACAGAGTTGAACTTTTGTTTTTACAGAGCCGTTTTAAAACACTCTTTTTGTGGAATCAGAAAGTGGATATTCGGATGGCTCTGAGGATTTCGTTGGAAGCGGGATTACATATAAAATCTAGAGAGAAGCATTCTCAGGAACTTCTTTGTGATGTTTGCATTGAAGTCACAGAATTGAACATTCACTTTGATAGAGCAGGTTTGAAACACTCATTCTGTAGGATCTGGAAGTGGACATTTCAAGCGCTTTCAGGCCTATGGTGAGAAAGGAAATATCTTCAAATAAAAACTAGACAGAAGCATCCTCAAACTTATTTGTGATGTGTGTCCTCAACTAACAGAGTTGAAACTTTGTTTTGATACAGCATTTTGGAAACACTCTTTTTGTAGAATCTGCAGGTGGATATTTGGATAGCTTAGAGGGATTCGTTGGAAAGGGGATATCTTCATATAGAATCTAGACAGAAGCATTCTCAGAAACTTATTTGTGATGTGTGTCCTCAACTAACAGAGTTGAACCTTGGTTTTGATACAGCATTTTGGAAACACTCCTTTTGTAGAATCTGCATGTGGATATGTGGATAGCTCTGAAGATTTCGTTGGAAACGGGAATTTCTTCATATAAAATCAAACAGAAGCATTCTCAGAAACTTCTCAGTGATGTTTGCATTCAGCTCATGGAGTTGTACACTTCCTTTCATAGAGCAGGTTTGAAACACTCTTTCTGCACTACTTGGAAGAGGACATTTCGAGCGCTTTGAGTCCTATGGTGAAAAAGGAAATATCTTCTCATAGAAACCAGAAAGAAGCATTCTCAGAAACTTCTTTGTGTTGTGTGTACTCATGTAACAGTGTTGAACCATCCTTTTGACAGAGGAGTTTTGAAACACTCTTTTTGTAGAATCTGCAAGTGGATATTTGGATAGCTTTGAGGATTTCGTTGGAAACGGGATGACATATAATATCTAGAGAGAAGCATTCTCAGGAACTTCTTTGTGATGTTTGCATTCAAGTCACAGAATTGAACATTCCCTTTCATAGAGCAGGTTTGAAACACTCTTTCTCTAGTATCTGGAAGTGGGCATTTCAAGCGCTTTCAGGCCTATGGAGAGAAAGGAAATACCTTCAAATAAAAACTAGACAGAAGCATTCTCAGAAACTTATTTGTGATGTGTGTCCTCAACTAACAGAGTTGAACCTTTGTTTTGATACAGCATTTTGGAAACACTCCTTTTGTAGAATCTGCAGGTGGATATTTGGATAGCTTTGAAGATTTCGTTGGAAACCGGAATATCTTCATATAAAATCAAGACAGAAGCATTCTCGGAAACATCTCTGTGATGTTTGCATTCAACTCAGTAGAGTTGAACACTTCCTTTCATAGAGCAGGTTTGAAACACTCTTTCTGCACTACCTGGAAGCGGACATTTCGAGCGCTTTGAGGCCTATGGTGAAAAAGGAAATATCTTCTCATAAAAACCAGAAAGAAGCATTCTCAGAAACTTCTTTGTGTTGTGTGTACTCAAGTAACAGTGTTGAACCTTCCTTTTGACAGAGCAGTTTTGAAACACTCTTTTGGTAGAATCTGCAAGTGGATATTTGGAGAGCTTTGAGGAATTCGTTGGAAACGGGTTATCTTCATATAAAATCCAGACAAGAGCATTCTCAGAAACTTCTTTGTGCTGTATGTCCTCAATTCACAGAGCTGAACCTTTGTTTGGATACAGCATTTTGGAGACATTCCTTTAGTAGAATCTGCAAGTTGATATTTAGATAGCTTTGAAGATTTCGTTGGAAACGGGAATATCTTCATAGAAAATCTAGACGGAAGCATTCTCAGAAACTGCTTTGTGATGTTTGCATTCAAGTCACAGAGTTGAATATTCCCTTTTATAGAGTAGGTTTGAAACACTCTTTCGGCACTACCTGGAAGTGGATATTTCGAGCTCTTTGAGGCCTATGGTTAAAAGGAAATATCTTCCCATAAAAACTAGACAGAAGCCGTCTCAGAAACTTGTTTGTGATGTGTGTATTCAACTACCAGAGTTGAACATTTCTGTTACAGAGCAATTTTAAAACACTCTTTCTGTGGAATCTGAAAGTGGATAATTGGATAGCTTTGTGGATTTCGTTGGAAACGGGATGACGTATAAAATCTAGAGAGAAGCATTCTCAGGAACTTCTTTCTGATGTTTGCATTCAAGTCACAGAATTGAACATTCCTTTTCAGAGTGCAGGTTTGAAACACTCTTTCTGTAGTATCTGGAAGTGGACATTTCAAGCGCTTTCAGGCCTACGGGGAGAAAGGAAATATCTTCAAATAAAAACTAGACAGAAGGATTCTCAGAAACTTATTTGTGATGTGTGTCCTAAACGAACACAGTTGAACCTTTGTTTTGATACAGCATTTTGGAAACACTCCTTTTGTAGGATCTGCAGGTGGATATTTGGATAGATTTTAAGATTTCGTTGGAAACGGGAATTTCTGCATAGAAACTCAAGACAGATGCATTCTCAGAAACTTCTCTGTGATGTGTGCATTCCACTCATAGAGTTGAAAACTTCCTTTCATAGAGCAGGTTTGAAACACTCTTTTTGTAATATTTGGAAGTGGACATTTGCAGCGCTTTGAGGCCTATGGTGAAAAAGGAAATATCTTCTCATAAAAACCAGAAACAAGCATTCTCAGAAACTTCTTTTTGATGTGTGTACTCAAGTAACAGAGTTGAACCTTCCTTTTGACACAGCAGTTTTGAAACAATCTTTTTGTAGAATCTGCAAGTGGATATTTGGATAGCTTTGAGGATTTCGTTGGAAACGGGATATCTTCATATAAAATCTAGACAGAAGCATTCTCAGAAACTTCTTTGTGCTGTATGACCTCAATTAACAGAGTTGAACCATTGCTTGCATACAGCATTTTGGAAACATTCCTTGAGTAGAATCTGCAAGTTGATATTTAGATAGATTTGAAGATTTCGTTCGAAAACGGAATATCTCCATATAAAATCTAGAGGGAAGCATTCTCAGAAACTGCTTTGTGATGTTTCCTTTCAAGTCACAGAGTTGAATATTCCCTTTTATAGAGCACGTTTGAAACACTCTTTCTGCGCTATCTGGAAGTGGACATTTCGAGCGCTTTGAGGCCTATGGTGAAAAAGGAAATATCTTCCCATAAAAACTAGACAGAAGCATTCTCAGAAACTTGTTTGTGATGTGTGTATTCAACTAACAGAGTTGAACTTTTGTTTTTACAGAGCCGTTTTAAAACACTCTTTTTGTGGAATCAGAAAGTGGATATTCGGATGGCTCTGAGGATTTCGTTGGAAGCGGGATTACATATAAAATCTAGAGAGAAGCATTCTCAGGAACTTCTTTGTGATGTTTGCATTGAAGTCACAGAATTGAACATTCACTTTGATAGAGCAGGTTTGAAACACTCATTCTGTAGTATCTGGAAGTGGACATTTCAAGCGCTTTCAGGCCTATGGTGAGAAAGGAAATATCTTCGAATAAAAACTAGACAGAAGCATCCTCAAACTTATTTGTGATGTGTGTCCTCAACTAACAGAGTTGAAACTTTGTTTTGATACAGCATTTTGGAAACACTCTTTTTGTAGAATCTGCAGGTGGATATTTGGATAGCTTAGAGGGATTCGTTGGAAAGGGGATATCTTCATATAGAATCTAGACAGAAGCATTCTCAGAATCTTATTTGTGATGTGTGTCCTCAACTAACAGAGTTGAACTTTGGTTTTGATACAGCATTTTGGAAACACTCCTTTTGTAGAATCTGCAGGTGGATATGTGGATAGCTCTGAAGATTTCGTTGGAAACGGGAATTTCTTCATATAAAATCAAACAGAAGCATTCTCAGAAACTTCTCAGTGATGTTTGCATTCAGTTCATGGAGTTGAACACTTCCTTTCATAGAGCCGGTTTGAAACACTCTTTCTGCACTACCTGGAAGAGGACATTTCGAGCGCTTTGAGTCCTATGGTGAAAAAGGAAATATCTTCTCATAGAAACCAGAAAGAAGCATTCTCAGAAACTTCTTTGTGTTGTGTGTACTCATGTAACAGTGTTGAACCATCCTTTTGACAGAGCAGTTTTGAAACACTCTTTTTGTAGAATCTGCAAGTGGATATTTGGATAGCTTTGAGGATTTCGTTGGAAACGGGATGACATATAATATCTAGAGAGAAGCATTCTCAGGAACTTCTTTGTGATGTTTGCATTCAAGTCACAGAATTGAACATTCCCTTTCATAGAGCAGGTTTGAAACACTCTTTCTCTAGTATCTGGAAGTGGGCATTTCAAGCGCTTTCAGGCCTATGGAGAGAAAGGAAATACCTTCAAATAAAAACTAGACAGAAGCATTCTCAGAAACTTATTTGTGATGTGTGTCCTCAACTAACAGAGTTGAACCTTTGTTTTGATACAGCATTTTGGAAACACTCCTTTTGTAGAATCTGCAGGTGGATATTTGGATAGCTTTGAAGATTTCGTTGGAAACCGGAATATCTTCATATAAAATCAAGACAGAAGCATTCTCGGAAACATCTCTGTGATGTTTGCATTCAACTCAGTAGAGTTGAACACTTCCTTTCATAGAGCAGGTTTGAAACACTCTTTCTGCCCTACCTGGAAGCGGACATTTCGAGCTCTTTGAGGCCTATGGTGAAAAAGGAAATATCTTCTCATAAAAACCAGAAAGAGAGCATTCTCAGAAACTTCTTTGTGTTGTGTGTACTCAAGTAACAGTGTTGAACCTTCCTTTTGACAGAGTAGTTTTGAAACACTCTTTTGGTAGAATCTGCAAGTGGATATTTGGATAGCTTTGAGGATTTCGTTGGAAACGGGTTATCTTCCTATAAAATCCAGACAGAGCATTCTCAGAAACTTCTTTGTGCTGTATGTCCTCAATTCACAGAGCTGAACCTTTGTTTGGATACAGCATTTTGGAGACATTCCTTTAGTAGAATCTGCAAGTTGATATTTAGATAGCTTTGAAGATTTCGTTGGAAACGGGAATATCTTCATAGAAAATCTAGACGGAAGCATTCTCAGAAACTGCTTTGTGATGTTTGCATTCAAGTCACAGAGTTGAATATTCCCTTTTATAGAGTAGGTTTGAAACACTCTTTCGGCACTACCTGGAAGTGGATATTTCGAGCTCTTTGAGGCCTATGGTTAAAAGGAAATATCTTCCCATAAAAACTAGACAGAAGCCGTCTCAGAAACTTGTTTGTGATGTGTGTATTCAACTACCAGAGTTGAACATTTCTGTTACAGAGCAATTTTAAAACACTCTTTCTGTGGAATCTGAAAGTGGATAATTGGATAGCTTTGTGGATTTCGTTGGAAACGGGATGACGTATAAAATTCTAGAGAGAAAGCATTCTCAGAAACTTCTTACTGATGTTTGCATTCAAGTCACAGAATTGAACATTCCTTTTCATAGTGCAGGTTTGAAACACTCTTTCTGTACTATCTGGAAGTGGACATTTCAAGCGCTTTCAGGCCTATGGGGAGAAAGGAAATATCTTCAAATTAAAAACTAGACAGAAGGATTCTCAGAAACTTATTTGTGATGTGTGTCCTAAACGAACACAGTTGAACCTTTGTTTTGATACAGCATTTTGGAAACACTCCTTTTGTAGGATCTGCAGGTGGATATTTGGATAGATTTTAAGATTTCGTTGGAAACGGGAATTTCTGCATATAAACTCAAGACAGATGCATTCTCAGAAACTTCTCTGTGATGTTTGCATTCCACTCATAGAGTTGAAAACTTCCTTTCATAGAGCAGGTTTGAAACACTCTTTTTGTAATATTTGGAAGTGGACATTTGCAGCGCTTTGAGGCCTATGGTGAAAAAGGAAATATCTTCTCATAAAAACCAGAAACAAGCATTCTCAGAAACTTCTTTTTGATGTGTGTACTCAAGTAACAGAGTTGAACCTTCCTTTTGACACAGCAGTTTTGAAACAATCTTTTTGTAGAATCTGCAAGTGGATATTTGGATAGCTTTGAGGATTTCGTTGGAAACGGGATATCTTCATATAAAATCTAGACAGAAGCATTCTCAGAAACTTCTTTGTGGTGTATGTCCTCAATTAACCGAGTTGAACCATTGCCTGGATACAGCATTTTGGAAACATTCCTTGAGTAGAATCTGCAAGTTGATCTTTAGATAGATTTGAAGATTTCGTTGGAAAAGGGAATATCTCCATATAAAATCTAGAGGGAAGCATTCTCAGAAACTGCTTTGTGATGTTTCCATTCAAGTCACAGAGTTGAATATTCTCTTTTATAGAGCACGTTTGAAACACTCTTTCTGCACTATCTGGAAGTGGACATTTCGAGCGCTTTGAGGCTTATGGTGAAAAAGGAAATATCTTCCCATAAAAACTAGACAGAAGCATTCTCAGACATTTGTTTGTGACGTGTGTATTCAACTAACAGATTTGAACTTTTGTTTTTACAGAGCAGTTTTAAAACACTCTTTTTGTGGAATCAGAAAGTGGATATTCGGATGGCTCTGAGGATTTCGTTGGAAGCAGGATTACATATAAAATCTAGAGAAAAGCATTCTCAGGAACTTCTTTCTGATGTTTGCATTGAAGTCACGGAATTGAACATTCACTTTTATAGAGCAGGTTTGAAACACTCATTCTGTAGTATCTGGAAGTGGACATTTCAAGCGCTTTCAGGCCTATGGTGAGAAAGGAAATATCTTCGAATAAAAACTAGACAGAAGCATCCTCAGAAACTTATTTGTGATGTGTGTCCTCAACTAACAGAGTTGAAACTTTGTTTTGATACAGCATTTTGGAAACACTCTTTTTGTAGAATCTGCAGGTGGATATTTGGATAGCTTAGAGGGATTCATTGGAAAGGGGATATCTTCATATAAAATCTAGACAGAAGCATTCTCAGAAACTTATTTGTGATGTGTGTCCTCAACTAACAGAGTTGAACTTTGGTTTTGATACAGCATTTTGGAAACACTCCTTTTGTAGAATCTGCAGGTGGATATGTGGATAGCTCTGAAGATTTCGTTGGAAACGGGAATTTCTTCATATAAAATCAAACAGAAGCATTCTCAGAAACTTCTCAGTGATGTTTGCATTCAGCTCATGGAGTTGAACACTTCCTTTCATAGAGCAGGTTTGAAACACTCTTTCTGCACTACCTGGAAGAGGACATTTCGAGCGCTTTGAGTCCTATGGTGAAAAAGGAAATATCTTCTCATAGAAACCAGAAAGAAGCATTCTCAGAAACTTCTTTGTGTTGTGTGTACTCATGTAACAGTGTTGAACCATCCTTTTGACAGAGCAGTTTTGAAACACTCTTTTTGTAGAATCTGCAAGTGGATATTTGGATAGCTTTGAGGATTTCGTTGGAAACGGGATGACATATAATATCTAGAGAGAAGCATTCTCAGGAACTTCTTTGTGATGTTTGCATTCAAGTCACAGAATTGAACATTCCCTTTCATAGAGCAGGTTTGAAACACTCTTTCTCAAGTATCTGGAAGTGGGCATTTCAAGCGCTTTCAGGCCTATGGAGAGAAAGGAAATACCTTCAAATAAAAACTAGACAGAAGCATTCTCAGAAACTTACTTGTGATGTGTGTCCTCAACTAACAGAGTTGAACCTTTGTTTTGATACAGCATTTTGGAAACACTCCTTTTGTAGAATCTGCAGGTGGATATTTGGATAGCTTTGAAGATTTCGTTGGAAACCGGAATATCTTCATATAAAATCAAGACAGAAGCATTCTCGGAAACATCTCTGTGATGTTTGCATTCAACTCAGTAGAGTTGAACACTTCCTTTCATAGAGCAGGTTTGAAACACTCTTTCTGCACTACCTGGAAGCGGACATTTTGAGCGCTTTGAGGCCTATGGTGAAAAAGGAAATATCTTCTCATAAAAACCAGAAAGAAGCATTCTCAGAAACTTCTTTGTGTTGTGTGTACTCAAGTAACAGTGTTGAACCTTCCTTTTGACAGAGCAGTTTTGAAACACTCTTTTGGTAGAATCTGCAAGTGGATATTTGGATAGCTTTGAGGATTTCGTTGGAAACGGGTTATCTTCATATAAAATCCAGACAGGAGCATTCTCAGAAACTTCTTTGTGCTGTATGTCCTCAATTCACAGAGCTGAACCTTTGTTTGGATACAGCATTTTGGAGACATTCCTTTAGTAGAATCTGCAAGTTGATATTTAGATAGCTTTGAAGATTTCGTTGGAAACGGGAATATCTTCATAGAAAATCTAGACGGAAGCATTCTCAGAAACTGCTTTGTGATGTTTGCATTCAAGTCACAGAGTTGAATATTCCCTTTTATAGAGTAGGTTTGAAACACTCTTTCGGCACTACCTGGAAGTGGATATTTCGAGCTCTTTGAGGCCTATGGTTAAAAGGAAATATCTTCCCATAAAAACTAGACAGAAGCCGTCTCAGAAACTTGTTTGTGATGTGTGTATTCAACTACCAGAGTTGAACATTTCTGTTACAGAGCAATTTTAAAACACTCTTTTTGTGGAATCTGAAAGTGGATAATTGGATAGCTTTGTGGATTTCGTTGGAAACGGGATGACGTATAAAATCTAGAGAGAAGCATTCTCAGGAACTTCTTTCTGATGTTTGCATTCAAGTCACAGAATTGAACATTCCTTTTCAGAGTGCAGGTTTGAAACACTCTTTCTGTAGTATCTGGAAGTGGACATTTCAAGCGCTTTCAGGCCTACGGGGAGAAAGGAAATCTCTTCAAATAAAAACCAGACAGAAGGATTCTCAGAAACTTATTTGTGATGTGTGTCCTAAACGAACACAGTTGAACCTTTGTTTTGATACAGCATTTTGGAAACACTCCTTTTGTAGGATCTGCAGGTGGATATTTGGATAGATTTTAAGATTTCGTTGGAAACGGGAATTTCTTCATAGAAGCTCAAGACAGATGCATTCTCAGAAACTTCTCTGTGATGTTTGCATTCCACTCATAGAGTTGAAAACTTCCTTTCATAGAGCAGGTTTGAAACACTCTTTTTGTAATATTTGGAAGTGGACATTTGCAGCGCTTTGAGGCCTATGGTGAAAAAGGAAATATCTTCTCATAAAAACCAGAAACAAGCATTCTCAGAAACTTCTTTTTGATGTGTGTACTCAAGTAACAGAGTTGAACCTTCCTTTTGACACAGCAGTTTTGAAACAATCTTTTTGTAGAATCTGCAAGTGGATATTTGGATAGCTTTGAGGATTTCGTTGGAAACGGGATATCTTCATATAAAATCTAGACAGAAGCATTCTCAGAAACTTCTTTGTGCTGTATGTCCTCAATTAACAGAGTTGAACCATTGCCTGGATACAGCATTTTGGAAACATTCCTTGAGTAGAATCTGCAAGTTGATATTTAGATAGATTTGAAGATTTCGTTGGAAAAGGGAATATCTCCATATAAAATCTAGAGGGAAGCATTCTCAGAAACTGCTTTGTGATGTTTCCATTCAAGTCACAGAGTTGAATATTCCCTTTTATAGAGCACGTTTGAAACACTCTTTCTGCACTATCTGGAAGCGGACATTTCGAGCGCTTTGAGGCCTATGGTGAAAAAGGAAATATCTTCCCATAAAAACTAGACAGAAGCATTCTCAGAAACTTGTTTGTGATGTGTGTATTCAACTAACAGAGTTGAACTTTTGTTTTTACAGAGCCGTTTTAAAACACTCTTTTTGTGGAATCAGAAAGTGGATATTCGGATGGCTCTGAGGATTTCGTTGGAAGCGGGATTACGTATAAAATCTAGAGAGAAGCATTCTCAGGAACTTCTTTGTGATGTTTGCATTGAAGTCACAGAATTGAACATTCACTTTGATAGAGCAGGTTTGAAACACTCATTCTGTAGTATCTGGAAGTGGACATTTCAAGCGCTTTCAGGCCTATGGTGAGAAAGGAAATATCTTCGAATAAAAACTAGACAGAAGCATCCTCAAACTTATTTGTGATGTGTGTCCTCAACTAACAGAGTTGAAACTTTGTTTTGATACAGCATTTTGGAAACACTCTTTTTGTAGAATCTGCAGGTGGATATTTGGATAGCTTAGAGGGATTCGTTGGAAAGGGGATATCTTCATATAGAATCTAGACAGAAGCATTCTCAGAAACTTATTTGTGATGTGTGTCCTCAACTAACAGAGTTGAACCTTGGTTTTGATACAGCATTTTGGAAACACTCCTTTTGTAGAATCTGCATGTGGATATGTGGATAGCTCTGAAGATTTCGTTGGAAACGGGAATTTCTTCATATAAAATCAAACAGAAGCATTCTCAGAAACTTCTCAGTGATGTTTGCATTCAGTTCATGGAGTTGAACACTTCCTTTCATAGAGCCGGTTTGAAACACTCTTTCTGCACTACCTGGAAGAGGACATTTCGAGCGCTTTGAGTCCTATGGTGAAAAAGGAAATATCTTCTCATAGAAACCAGAAAGAAGCATTCTCAGAAACTTCTTTGTGTTGTGTGTACTCATGTAACAGTGTTGAACCATCCTTTTGACAGAGCAGTTTTGAAACACTCTTTTTGTAGAATCTGCAAGTGGATATTTGGATAGCTTTGAGGATTTCGTTGGAAACGGGATGACATATAATATCTAGAGAGAAGCATTCTCAGGAACTTCTTTGTGATGTTTGCATTCAAGTCACAGAATTGAACATTCCCTTTCATAGAGCAGGTTTGAAACACTCTTTCTCTAGTATCTGGAAGTGGGCATTTCAAGCGCTTTCAGGCCTATGGAGAGAAAGGAAATACCTTCAAATAAAAACTAGACAGAAGCATTCTCAGAAACTTATTTGTGATGTGTGTCCTCAACTAACAGAGTTGAACCTTTGTTTTGATACAGCATTTTGGAAACACTCCTTTTGTAGAATCTGCAGGTGGATATTTGGATAGCTTTGAAGATTTCGTTGGAAACCGGAATATCTTCATATAAAATCAAGACAGAAGCATTCTCGGAAACATCTCTGTGATGTTTGCATTCAACTCAGTAGAGTTGAACACTTCCTTTCATAGAGCAGGTTTGAAACACTCTTTCTGCACTACCTGGAAGCGGACATTTCGAGCGCTTTGAGGCCTATGGTGAAAAAGGAAATATCTTCTCATAAAAACCAGAAAGAAGCATTCTCAGAAACTTACTTTGTGTTGTGTGTACTCAAGTAACAGTGTTGAACCTTCCTTTTGACAGAGCAGTTTTGAAACACTCTTTTGGTAGAATCTGCAAGTGGATATTTGGAGAGCTTTGAGGATTTCGTTGGAAACGGGTTATCTTCATATAAAATCCAGACAGGAGCATTCTCAGAAACTTCTTTGTGCTGTATGTCCTCAATTCACAGAGCTGAACCTTTGTTTGGATACAGCATTTTGGAGACATTCCTTTAGTAGAATCTGCAAGTTGATATTTAGATAGCTTTGAAGATTTCGTTGGAAACGGGAATATCTTCATAGAAAATCTAGACGGAAGCATTCTCAGAAACTGCTTTGTGATGTTTGCATTCAAGTCACAGAGTTGAATATTCCCTTTTATAGAGTAGGTTTGAAACACTCTTTCGGCACTACCTGGAAGTGGATATTTCGAGCTCTTTGAGGCCTATGGTTAAAAGGAAATATCTTCCCATAAAAACTAGACAGAAGCCGTCTCAGAAACTTGTTTGTGATGTGTGTATTCAACTAACAGAGTTGAACATTTCTGTTACAGAGCAATTTTAAAACACTCTTTGTGGAATCTGAAAGTGGATAATTGGATAGCTTTGTGGATTTCGTTGGAAACGGGATGACGTATAAAATCTAGAGAGAAGCATTCTCAGGAACTTCTTTCTGATGTTTGCATTCAAGTCACAGAATTGAACATTCCTTTTCAGAGTGCAGGTTTGAAACACTCTTTCTGTAGTATCTGGAAGTGGACATTTCAAGCGCTTTCAGGCCTACGGGGAGAAAGGAAATATCTTCAAATAAAAACTAGACAGAAGGATTCTCAGAAACTTATTTGTGATGTGTGTCCTAAACCAACACAGTTGAACCTTTGTTTTGATACAGCATTTTGGAAACACTCCTTTTGTAGGATCTGCAGGTGGATATTTGGATAGATTTTAAGATTTCGTTGGAAACGGGAATTTCTTCATAGAAGCTCAAGACAGATGCATTCTCAGAAACTTCTCTGTGATGTTTGCATTCCACTCATAGAGTTGAAAACTTCCTTTCATAGAGCAGGTTTGAAACACTCTTTTTGTAATATTTGGAAGTGGACATTTGCAGCGCTTTGAGGCCTATGGTGAAAAAGGAAATATCTTCTCATAAAAACCAGAAACAAGCATTCTCAGAAACTTCTTTTTGATGTGTGTACTCAAGTAACAGAGTTGAACCTTCCTTTTGACACAGCAGTTTTGAAACAATCTTTTTGTAGAATCTGCAAGTGGATATTTGGATAGCTTTGAGGATTTCGTTGGAAACGGGATATCTTCATATAAAATCTAGACAGAAGCATTCTCAGAAACTTCTTTGTGCTGTATGTCCTCAATTAACAGAGTTGAACCATTGCCTGGATACAGCATTTTGGAAACATTCCTTGAGTAGAATCTGCAAGTTGATATTTAGATAGATTTGAAGATTTCGTTGGAAAAGGGAATATCTCCATATAAAATCTAGAGGGAAGCATTCTCAGAAACTGCTTTGTGATGTTTCCATTCAAGTCACAGAGTTGAATATTCCCTTTTATAGAGCACGTTTGAAACACTCTTTCTGCACTATCTGGAAGCGGACATTTCGAGCGCTTTGAGGCCTATGGTGAAAAAGGAAATATCTTCCCATAAAAACTAGACAGAAGCATTCTCAGAAACTTGTTTGTGATGTGTGTATTCAACTAACAGAGTTGAACTTTTGTTTTTACAGAGCCGTTTTAAAACACTCTTTTTGTGGAATCAGAAAGTGGATATTCGGATGGCTCTGAGGATTTCGTTGGAAGCGGGATTACATATAAAATCTAGAGAGAAGCATTCTCAGGAACTTCTTTGTGATGTTTGCATTGAAGTCACAGAATTGAACATTCACTTTGATAGAGCAGGTTTGAAACACTCATTCTGTAGTATCTGGAAGTGGACATTTCAAGCGCTTTCAGGCCTATGGTGGGAAAGGAAATATCTTCGAATAAAAACTAGACAGAAGCATCCTCAGAAACTTATTTGTGATGTGTGTCCTCAACTAACAGAGTTAAAACTTTGTTTTGATACAGCATTTTGGAAACACTCTTTTTGTAGAATCTGCAGGTAGATATTTTGATAGCTTAGAGGGATTCGTTGGAAAGGGGATATCTTCATATAAAATCTAGACAGAAGCATTCTCAGAAACTTATTTGTGATGTGTGTCCTCAACTAACAGAGTTGAACCTTTGTTTTGATACAGCATTTTGGAAACACTCCTTTTGTAGAATCTGCAGGTGGATATGTGGATAGCTTTGAAGATTTCGTTGGAAACCGGAATATCTTCCTATAAAATCAAGACAGAAGCATTCTCGGAAACATCTCTGTGATGTTTGCATTCAACTCAGTAGAGTTGAACACTTCCTTTCATAGAGCAGGTTTGAAACACTCTTTCTGCACTACCTGGAAGCGGACATTTCGAGCGCTTTGAGGCCTATGGTGAAAAAGGAAATATCTTCTCATAAAAACCAGAAAGAAGCATTCTCAGAAACTTCTTTGTGTTGTGTGTACTCAAGTAACAGTGTTGAACCTTCCTTTTGACAGAGCAGTTTTGAAACACTCTTTTGGTAGAATCTGCAAGTGGATATTTGGATAGCTTTGAGGATTTCGTTGGAAACGGGTTATCTTCCTATAAAATCCAGACAGGAGCATTCTCAGAAACTTCTTTGTGCTGTATGTCCTCAATTCACAGAGCTGAACCTTTGTTTGGATACAGCATTTTGGAGACATTCCTTTAGTAGAATCTGCAAGTTGATATTTAGATAGCTTTGAAGATTTCGTTGGAAACGGGAATATCTTCATAGAAAATCTAGACGGAAGCATTCTCAGAAACTGCTTTGTGATGTTTGCATTCAAGTCACAGAGTTGAATATTCCCTTTTATAGAGTAGGTTTGAAACACTCTTTCGGCACTACCTGGAAGTGGATATTTCGAGCTCTTTGAGGCCTATGGTTAAAAGGAAATATCTTCCCATAAAAACTAGACAGAAGCCGTCTCAGAAACTTGTTTGTGATGTGTGTATTCAACTAACAGAGTTGAACATTTCTGTTACAGAGCAATTTTAAAACACTCTTTTTGTGGAATCTGAAAGTGGATAATTGGGTAGCTTTGTGGATTTCGTTGGAAACGGGATGACGTATAAAATCTAGAGAGAAGCATTCTCAGGAACTTCTTTCTGATGTTTGCATTCAAGTCACAGAATTGACATTCCTTTTCAGAGTGCAGGTTTGAAACACTCTTTCTGTAGTATCTGGAAGTGGACATTTCAAGCGCTTTCAGGCCTATGGGGAGAAAGGAAATATCTTCAAATAAAAACTAGACAGAAGGATTCTCAGAAACTTATTTGTGATGTGTGTCCTAAGCGAACACAGTTGAACCTTTGTTTTGATACAGCATTTTGGAAACACTCCTTTTGTAGAATCTGCAGGTGGATATTTGGATAGATTTTAAGATTTCATTGGAAACGGGAATTTCTGCATAGAAACTCAAGACAGATGCATTCTCAGAAACTTCTCTGTGATGTTTGCATTCCACTCATAGAGTTGAAAACTTCCTTTCATAGAGCAGGTTTGAAACACTCTTTTTGTAATATTTGGAAGTGGACATTTGCAGCGCTTTGAGGCCTATGGTGAAAAAGGAAATATCTTCTCATAAAAACCAGAAACAAGCATTCTCAGAAACTTCTTTTTGATGTGTGTACTCAAGTAACAGAGTTGAACCTTCCTCTTGACACAGCCGTTTTGAAACAATCTTTTTGTAGAATCTGCAAGTGGATATTTGGATAGCTTTGAGGATTTCGTTGGAAACGGGATATCTTCATATAAAATCTAGACAGAAGCATTCTCAGAAACTTCTTTGTGCTGTATGTCCTCAATTAACAGGAGTTGAACCATTGCTTGGATACAGCATTTTGGAAACATTCCTTGAGTAGAATCTGCAAGTTGATATTTAGATAGATTTGAAGATTTCGTTGGAAAAGGGAATATCTCCATATAAAATCAAGAGGGAAGCATTCTCAGAAACTGCTTTATGATGTTTCCCTTCAAGTCACAGAGTTGAATATTCCCTTTTATAGAGCACGTTTGAAACAATCTTTCTGCACTATGTGGAAGTGGACATTTCGAGCGCTTTGAGGCCTATGGTGAAAAAGGAAATATCTTCCCATAAAAACTAGACAGAAGCATTCTCAGAAACTTGTTTGTGATGTGTGTATTCAACTAACAGAGTTGAACTTTTGTTTTTACAGAGCCGTTTTAAAACACCCTTTTTGTGGAATCAGAAAGTGGATATTCGGATGGCTCTGAGGATTTCGTTGGAAGCGGGATTACATATAAAATCTAGAGAGAAGCATTCTCAGGAACTTCTTTGTGATGTTTGCATTGAAGTCACAGAATTGAACATTCACTTTGATAGAGCAGGTTTGAAACACTCATTCTGTAGTATCTGGAAGTGGACATTTCAAGCGCTTTCAGGCCTATGGTGGGAAAGGAAATATCTTCGAATAAAAACTAGACAGAAGCATCCTCAGAAACTTATTTGTGATGTGTGTCCTCAACTAACAGAGTTAAAACTTTGTTTTGATACAGCATTTTGGAAACACTCTTTTTGTAGAATCTGCAGGTGGATATTTTGATAGCTTAGAGGGATTCGTTGGAAAGGGGATATCTTCATATAAAATCTAGACAGAAGCATTCTCAGAAACTTATTTGTGATGTGTGTCCTCAACTAACAGAGTTGAACCTTGGTTTTGATACAGCATTTTGGAAACACTCCTTTTGTAGAATCTGCATGTGGATATGTGGATAGCTCTGAAGATTTCGTTGGAAACGGGAATTTCTTCATATAAAATCAAACAGAAGCATTCTCAGAAACTTCTCAGTGATGTTTGCATTCAGCTCATGGAGTTGAACACTTCCTTTCATAGAGCAGGTTTGAAACACTCTTTCTGCACTACCTGGAAGAGGACATTTCGAGCGCTTTGAGTCCTATGGTGAAAAAGGAAATATCTTCTCATAGAAACCAGAAAGAAGCATTCTCAGAAACTTCTTTGTGTTGTGTGTACTCATGTAACAGTGTTGAACCATCCTTTTGACAGAGGAGTTTTGAAACACTCTTTTTGTAGAATCTGCAAGTGGATATTTGGATAGCTTTGAGGATTTCGTTGGAAACGGGATGACATATAATATCTAGAGAGAAGCATTCTCAGGAACTTCTTTGTGATGTTTGCATTCAAGTCACAGAATTGAACATTCCCTTTCATAGAGCAGGTTTGAAACACTCTTTCTCTAGTATCTGGAAGTGGGCATTTCAAGCGCTTTCAGGCCTATGGAGAGAAAGGAAATACCTTCAAATAAAAACTAGACAGAAGCATTCTCAGAAACTTATTTGTGATGTGTGTCCTCAACTAACAGAGTTGAACCTTTGTTTTGATACAGCAT
Organism: Homo sapiens; assembly: GCF_000001405.40. Lineage (NCBI taxonomy): Eukaryota > Metazoa > Chordata > Mammalia > Primates > Hominidae > Homo > Homo sapiens. The sequence goes on from NC_000004.12 coordinate 50,452,450, forward strand.
TTTGGAAACACTCCTTTTGTAGAATCTGCAGGTGGATATTTGGATAGCTTTGAAGATTTCGTTGGAAACCGGAATATCTTCATATAAAATCAAGACAGAAGCATTCTCGGAAACATCTCTGTGATGTTTGCATTCAACTCAGTAGAGTTGAACACTTCCTTTCATAGAGCAGGTTTGAAACACTCTTTCTGCACTACCTGGAAGCGGACATTTCGAGCGCTTTGAGGCCTATGGTGAAAAAGGAAATATCTTCTCATAAAAACCAGAAAGAAGCATTCTCAGAAACTTCTTTGTGTTGTGTGTACTCAAGTAACAGTGTTGAACCTTCCTTTTGACAGAGCAGTTTTGAAACACTCTTTTGGTAGAATCTGCAAGTGGATATTTGGAGAGCTTTGAGGATTTCGTTGGAAACGGGTTATCTTCATATAAAATCCAGACAGGAGCATTCTCAGAAACTTCTTTGTGCTGTATGTCCTCAATTCACAGAGCTGAACCTTTGTTTGGATACAGCATTTTGGAAACATTCCTTTAGTAGAATCTGCAAGTTGATATTTAGATATCTTTGAAGATTTCGTTGGAAACGGGAATATCTTCATAGAAAATCTAGACGGAAGCATTCTCATAAACTGCTTTGTGATGTTTGCATTCAAGTCACAGAGTTGAATATTCCCTTTTATAGAGTAGGTTTGAAACACTCTTTCGGCACTACCTGGAAGTGGATATTTCGAGCTGTTTGAGGCCTATGGTTAAAAGGAAATATCTTCCCATGAAAACTAGACAGAATCCGTCTCAGAAACTTGTTTTTGATGTGTGTATTCAACTAACAGACTTGAACTTTTGTTTCTACAGAGCAGTTTTAAAACAGTCTTTTTGTGGAATCAGAAAGTGGATATTCGGATGGCTTTGAGGATTTCGTTGGAAGCGGGATTACATATAAAATCTAGAAAGAAGCATTCTCAGGAACTTCTTTGTGATGTTTGCATTGAAGTCACAGAATTGAACATTCACTTTCATAGAGCAGGTTTGAAACACTCATTCTGTAGTATCTGGAAGTGGACATTTCAAGCGCTTTCAGGCCTATGGTGAGAAAGGAAATATCTTCAAATAAAAACTAGACAGAAGCATCCTCAGAAACTTATTTGTGATGTGTGTCCTCAACTAACAGAGTTGAAACTTTGTTTTGATACAGCATTTTGGAAACACTCTTTTTGTAGAATCTGCAGGTGGATATTTGGATAGCTTAGAGGGATTCGTTGGAAAGGGGATATCTTCATGTAAAATCTAGACAGAAGCATTCTCAGAAACTTATTTGTGATGTGTGTCCTCAACTAACAGAGTGGAACCTTGGTTTTGATACAGCATTTTGGAAACACTCCTTTTGTAGAATCTGCAGGTGGATATGTGGATAGCTTTGAAGATTTCGTTGGAAACGGGAATTTCTTCATATAAAATCAAACAGAAGCATTCTCAGAAACTTCTCAGTGATGTTTGCATTCAGCTCATGGAGTTGTACACTTCCTTTCATAGAGCAGGTTTGAAACACTCTTTCTGCACTACCTGGAAGAGGACATTTCGAGCGCTTTGAGTCCTATGGTGAAAAAGGAAATATCTTCTCATAGAAACCAGAAAGAAGCATTCTCAGAAACTTCTTTGTGTTGTGTGTACTCATGTAACAGTGTTGAACCATCCTTTTGACAGAGGAGTTTTGAAACACTCTTTTTGTAGAATCTGCAAGTGGATATTTGGATAGCTTTGAGGATTTCGTTGGAAACGGGTTATCTTCATATAAAATCCAGACAGGAGCATTCTCAGAAACTTCTTTGTGCTGTATGTCCTCAATTCACAGAGCTGAACCTTTGTTTGGATACAGCATTTTGGAGACATTCCTTTAGTAGAATCTGCAAGTTGATATTTAGATAGCTTTGAAGATTTCGTTGGAAACGGGAATATCTTCATAGAAAATCTAGACGGAAGCATTCTCAGAAACTTCTCAGTGATGTTTGCATTCAAGTCACAGAGTTGAATATTCCCTTTTATAGAGTAGGTTTGAAACACTCTTTCGGCACTACCTGGAAGTGGATATTTCGAGCTCTTTGAGGCCTATGGTTAAAAGGAAATATCTTCCCATAAAAACTAGACAGAAGCCGTCTCAGAAACTTGTTTGTGATGTGTGTATTCAACTAACAGAGTTGAACATTTCTGTTACAGAGCAATTTTAAAACACTCTTTTTGTGGAATCTGAAAGTGGATAATTGGATAGCTTTGTGGATTTCGTTGGAAACGGGATGACGTATAAAATCTAGAGAGAAGCATTCTCAGGAACTTCTTTCTGATGTTTGCATTCAAGTCACAGAATTGAACATTCCTTTTCAGAGTGCAGGTTTGAAACACTCTTTCTGTAGTATCTGGAAGTGGACATTTCAAGCGCTTTCAGGCCTACGGGGAGAAAGGAAATATCTTCAAATAAAAACTAGACAGAAGGATTCTCAGAAACTTATTTGTGATGTGTGTCCTAAACGAACACAGTTGAACCTTTGTTTTGATACAGCATTTTGGAAACACTCCTTTTGTAGGATCTGCAGGTGGATATTTGGATAGATTTTAAGATTTCGTTGGAAACGGGAATTTCTTCATAGAAGCTCAAGACAGATGCATTCTCAGAAACTTCTCTGTGATGTTTGCATTCCACTCATAGAGTTGAAAACTTCCTTTCATAGAGCAGGTTTGAAACACTCTTTTTGTAATATTTGGAAGTGGACATTTGCAGCGCTTTGAGGCCTATGGTGAAAAAGGAAATATCTTCTCATAAAAACCAGAAACAAGCATTCTCAGAAACTTCTTTTTGATGTGTGTACTCAAGTAACAGAGTTGAACCTTCCTCTTGACACAGCAGTTTTGAAACAATCTTTTTGTAGAATCTGCAAGTGGATATTTGGATAGCTTTGAGGATTTCGTTGGAAACGGGATATCTTCATATAAAATCTAGACAGAAGCATTCTCAGAAACTTCTTTGTGCTGTATGTCCTCAATTAACAGAGTTGAACCATTGCCTGGATACAGCATTTTGGAAACATTCCTTGAGTAGAATCTGCAAGTTGATATTTAGATAGATTTGAAGATTTCGTTGGAAAAGGGAATATCTCCATATAAAATCCTAGAGGGAAGCATTCTCAGAAACTGCTTTGTGATGTTTCCATTCAAGTCACAGAGTTGAATATTCCCTTTTATAGAGCACGTTTGAAACACTCTTTCTGCACTATCTGGAAGCGGACATTTCGAGCGCTTTGAGGCCTATGGTGAAAAAGGAAATATCTTCCCATAAAAACTAGACAGAAGCATTCTCAGAAACTTGTTTGTGATGTGTGTATTCAACTAACAGAGTTGAACTTTTGTTTTTACAGAGCCGTTTTAAAACACTCTTTTTGTGGAATCAGAAAGTGGATATTCGGATGGCTCTGAGGATTTCGTTGGAAGCGGGATTACGTATAAAATCTAGAGAGAAGCATTCTCAGGAACTTCTTTCTGATGTTTGCATTGAAGTCACGGAATTGAACATTCACTTTTATAGAGCAGGTTTGAAACACTCATTCTGTAGTATCTGGAAGTGGACATTTCAAGCGCTTTCAGGCCTATGGTGAGAAAGGAAATATCTTCGAATAAAAACTAGACAGAAGCATCCTCAGAAACTTATTTGTGATGTGTGTCCTCAACTAACAGAGTTGAAACTTTGTTTTGATACAGCATTTTGGAAACACTCTTTTTGTAGAATCTGCAGGTGGATATTTGGATAGCTTAGAGGGATTCGTTGGAAAGGGGATATCTTCATATAAAATCTAGACAGAAGCATTCTCAGAAACTTATTTGTGATGTGTGTCCTCAACTAACAGAGTTGAACCTTGGTTTTGATACAGCATTTTGGAAACACTCCTTTTGTAGAATCTGCAGGTGGATATGTGGATAGCTCTGAAGATTTCGTTGGAAACGGGTATTTCTTCATATAAAATCAAACAGAAGCATTCTCAGAAACTTCTCAGTGATGTTTGCATTCAGCTCATGGAGTTGTACACTTCCTGTCATAGAGCAGGTTTGAAACACTCTTTCTGCACTACCTGGAAGAGGACATTTCGAGCCCTTTGAGTCCTATGGTGAAAAAGGAAATATCTTCTCATAGAAACCAGAAAGAAGCATTCTCAGAAACTTCTTTGTGTTGTGTGTACTCATGTAACAGTGTTGAACCATCCTTTTGACAGAGGAGTTTTGAAACACTCTTTTTGTAGAATCTGCAAGTGGATATTTGGATAGCTTTGAGGATTTCGTTGGAAACGGGATGACATATAATATCTAGAGAGAAGCATTCTCAGGAACTTCTTTGTGATGTTTGCATTCAAGTCACAGAATTGAACATTCCCTTTCATAGAGCAGGTTTGAAACACTCTTTCTCTAGTATCTGGAAGTGGGCATTTCAAGCGCTTTCAGGCCTATGGAGAGAAAGGAAATACCTTCAAATAAAAACTAGACAGAAGCATTCTCAGAAACTTATTTGTGATGTGTGTCCTCAACTAACAGAGTTGAACCTTTGTTTTGATACAGCATTTTGGAAACACTCCTTTTGTAGAATCTGCAGGTGGATATTTGGATAGCTTTGAAGATTTCGTTGGAAACCGGAATATCTTCATATAAAATCAAGACAGAAGCATTCTCGGAAACATCTCTGTGATGTTTGCATTCAACTCAGTAGAGTTGAACACTTCCTTTCATAGAGCAGGTTTGAAACACTCTTTCTGCACTACCTGGAAGCGGACATTTCGAGCGCTTTGAGGCCTATGGTGAAAAAGGAAATATCTTCTCATAAAAACCAGAAAGAAGCATTCTCAGAAACTTCTTTGTGTTGTGTGTACTCAAGTAACAGTGTTGAACCTTCCTTTTGACAGAGTAGTTTTGAAACACTCTTTTGGTAGAATCTGCAAGTGGATATTTGGATAGCTTTGAGGATTTCGTTGGAAACGGGTTATCTTCCTATAAAATCCAGACAGGAGCATTCTCAGAAACTTCTTTGTGCTGTATGTCCTCAATTCACAGAGCTGAACCTTTGTTTGGATACAGCATTTTGGAGACATTCCTTTAGTAGAATCTGCAAGTTGATATTTAGATAGCTTTGAAGATTTCGTTGGAAACGGGAATATCTTCATAGAAAATCTAGACGGAAGCATTCTCAGAAACTGCTTTGTGATGTTTGCATTCAAGTCACAGAGTTGAATATTCCCTTTTATAGAGTAGGTTTGAAACACTCTTTCGGCACTACCTGGAAGTGGATATTTCGAGCTCTTTGAGGCCTATGGTTAAAAGGAAATATCTTCCCATAAAAACTAGACAGAAGCCGTCTCAGAAACTTGTTTGTGATGTGTGTATTCAACTACCAGAGTTGAACATTTCTGTTACAGAGCAATTTTAAAACACTCTTTTTGTGGAATCTGAAAGTGGATAATTGGATAGCTTTGTGGATTTCGTTGGAAACGGGATGACGTATAAAATCTAGAGAGAAGCATTCTCAGGAACTTCTTTCTGATGTTTGCATTCAAGTCACAGAATTGAACATTCCTTTTCAGAGTGCAGGTTTGAAACACACTCTTTCTGTAGTATCTGGAAGTGGACATTTCAAGCGCTTTCAGGCCTACGGGGAGAAAGGAAATATCTTCAAATAAAAACTAGACAGAAGGATTCTCAGAAACTTATTTGTGATGTGTGTCCTAAACGAACACAGTTGAACCTTTGTTTTGATACAGCATTTTGGAAACACTCCTTTTGTAGGATCTGCAGGTGGATATTTGGATAGATTTTAAGATTTCGTTGGAAACAGGAATTTCTGCATATAAACTCAAGACAGATGCATTCTCAGAAACTTCTCTGTGATGTTTGCATTCCACTCATAGAGTTGAAAACTTCCTTTCATAGAGCAGGTTTGAAACACTCTTTTTGTAATATTTGGAAGTGGACATTTGCAGCGCTTTGAGGCCTATGGTGAAAAAGGAAATATCTTCTCATAAAAACCAGAAACAAGCATTCTCAGAAACTTCTTTTTGATGTGTGTACTCAAGTAACAGAGTTGAACCTTCCTTTTGACACAGCAGTTTTGAAACAATCTTTTTGTAGAATCTGCAAGTGGATATTTGGATAGCTTTGAGGATTTCGTTGGAAACGGGATATCTTCATATAAAATCTAGACAGAAGCATTCTCAGAAACTTCTTTGTGCTGTATGTCCTCAATTAACAGAGTTGAACCATTGCTTGGATACAGCATTTTGGAAACATTCCTTGAGTAGAATCTGCAAGTTGATATTTAGATAGATTTGAAGATTTCGTTGGAAAAGGGAATATCTCCATATAAAATCTAGAGGGAAGCATTCTCAGAAACTGCTTTGTGATGTTTCCATTCAAGTCACAGAGTTGAATATTCCCTTTTATAGAGCACGTTTGAAACACTCTTTCTGCACTATCTGGAAGTGGACATTTCGAGCGCTTTGAGGCCTATGGTGAAAAAGGAAATATCTTCCCATAAAAACTAGACAGAAGCATTCTCAGAAACTTGTTTGTGATGTGTGTATTCAACTAACAGAGTTGAACTTTTGTTTTTACAGAGCCGTTTTAAAACACTCTTTTTGTGGAATCAGAAAGTGGATATTCGGATGGCTCTGAGGATTTCGTTGGAAGCGGGATTACATATAAAATCTAGAGAGAAGCATTCTCAGGAACTTCTTTGTGATGTTTGCATTGAAGTCACAGAATTGAACATTCACTTTGATAGAGCAGGTTTGAAACACTCATTCTGTAGGATCTGGAAGTGGACATTTCAAGCGCTTTCAGGCCTATGGTGAGAAAGGAAATATCTTCGAATAAAAACTAGACAGAAGCATCCTCAGAAACTTATTTGTGATGTGTGTCCTCAACTAACAGAGTTGAAACTTTGTTTTGATACAGCATTTTGGAAACACTCTTTTTGTAGAATCTGCAGGTGGATATTTGGATAGCTTAGAGGGATTCGTTGGAAAGGGGATATCTTCATATAAAATCTAGACAGAAGCATTCTCAGAAACTTATTTGTGATGTGTGTCCTCAACTAACAGAGTTGAACCTTGGTTTTGATACAGCATTTTGGAAACACTCCTTTTGTAGAATCTGCAGGTGGATATGTGGATAGCTCTGAAGATTTCGTTGGAAACGGGAATTTATTCATATAAAATCAAACAGAAGCATTCTCAGAAACTTCTCAGTGATGTTTGCATTCAGTTCATGGAGTTGAACACTTCCTTTCATAGAGCCGGTTTGAAACACTCTTTCTGCACTACCTGGAAGAGGACATTTCGAGCGCTTTGAGTCCTATGGTGAAAAAGGAAATATCTTCTCATAGAAACCAGAAAGAAGCATTCTCAGAAACTTCTTTGTGTTGTGTGTACTCATGTAACAGTGTTGAACCATCCTTTTGACAGAGCAGTTTTGAAACACTCTTTTTGTAGAATCTGCAAGTGGATATTTGGATAGCTTTGAGGATTTCGTTGGAAACAGGATGACATATAATATCTAGAGAGAAGCATTCTCAGGAACTTCTTTGTGATGTTTGCATTCAAGTCACAGAATTGAACATTCCCTTTCATAGAGCAGGTTTGAAACACTCTTTCTCTAGTATCTGGAAGTGGGCATTTCAAGCGCTTTCAGGCCTATGGAGAGAAAGGAAATACCTTCAAATAAAAACTAGACAGAAGCATTCTCAGAAACTTATTTGTGATGTGTGTCCTCAACTAACAGAGTTGAACCTTTGTTTTGATACAGCATTTTGGAAACACTCCTTTTGTAGAATCTGCAGGTGGATATTTGGATAGCTTTGAAGATTTCGTTGGAAACCGGAATATCTTCATATAAAATCAAGACAGAAGCATTCTCGGAAACATCTCTGTGATGTTTGCATTCAACTCAGTAGAGTTGAACACTTCCTTTCATAGAGCAGGTTTGAAACACTCTTTCTGCACTACCTGGAAGCGGACATTTCGAGCGCTTTGAGGCCTATGGTGAAAAAGGAAATATCTTCTCATAAAAACCAGAAAGAAGCATTCTCAGAAACTTCTTTGTGTTGTGTGTACTCAAGTAACAGTGTTGAACCTTCCTTTTGACAGAGCAGTTTTGAAACACTCTTTTGGTAGAATCTGCAAGTGGATATTTGGATAGCTTTGAGGAATTCGTTGGAAACGGGTTATCTTCATATAAAATCCAGACAGGAGCATTCTCAGAAACTTCTTTGTGCTGTATGTCCTCAATTCACAGAGCTGAACCTTTGTTTGGATACAGCATTTTGGAGACATTCCTTTAGTAGAATCTGCAAGTTGATATTTAGATAGCTTTGAAGATTTCGTTGGAAACGGGAATATCTTCATAGAAAATCTAGACGGAAGCATTCTCAGAAACTGCTTTGTGATGTTTGCATTCAAGTCACAGAGTTGAATATTCCCTTTTATAGAGTAGGTTTGAAACACTCTTTCGGCACTACCTGGAAGTGGATATTTCGAGCTCTTTGAGGCCTATGGTTAAAAGGAAATATCTTCCCATAAAAACTAGACAGAAGCCGTCTCAGAAACTTGTTTGTGATGTGTGTATTCAACTAACAGAGTTGAACATTTCTGTTACAGAGCAATTTTAAAACACTCTTTGTGGAATCTGAAAGTGGATAATTGGATAGCTTTGTGGATTTCGTTGGAAACGGGATGACGTATAAAATCTAGAGAGAAGCATTCTCAGGAACTTCTTTCTGATGTTTGCATTCAAGTCACAGAATTGAACATTCCTTTTCAGAGTGCAGGTTTGAAACACTCTTTCTGTAGTATCTGGAAGTGGACATTTCAAGCGCTTTCAGGCCTACGGGGAGAAAGGAAATATCTTCAAATAAAAACTAGACAGAAGGATTCTCAGAAACTTATTTGTGATGTGTGTCCTAAACGAACACAGTTGAACCTTTGTTTTGATACAGCATTTTGGAAACACTCCTTTTGTAGGATCTGCAGGTGGATATTTGGATAGATTTTAAGATTTCGTTGGAAACGGGAATTTCTTCATAGAAGCTCAAGACAGATGCATTCTCCGAAACTTCTCTGTGATGTTTGCATTCCACTCATAGAGTTGAAAACTTCCTTTCATAGAGCACGTTTGAAACACTCTTTTTGTAATATTTGGAAGTGGACATTTGCAGCGCTTTGAGGCCTATGGTGAAAAAGGAAATATCTTCTCATAAAAACCAGAAACAAGCATTCTCAGAAACTTCTTTTTGATGTGTGTACTCAAGTAACAGACTTGAACCTTCCTATTGACACAGCAGTTTTGAAACAATCTTTTTGTAGAATCTGCAAGTGGATATTTGGATAGCTTTGAGGAGTTCGTTGGAAACGGGATATCTTCATATAAAATCCAGACAGGAGCATTCTCAGAAACTTCTTTGTGCTGTATGTCCTCAATTAACAGAGTTGAACCATTGCTTGGATACAACATTTTGGAAACATTCCTTTAGTAGAATCTGCAAGTTGATATTTAGATAGCTTTGAAGATTTCGTTGGAAACGGGAATATCTTCATATAAAATCTAGACGGAAGCATTCTCATAAACTGCTTTGTGATGTTTGCATTCAAGTCACAGAGTTGAATATTCCCTTTTATAGAGTAGGTTTGAAACACTCTTTCGGCACTACCTGGAAGTGGATATTTCGAGCTCTTTGAGGCCTATGCTTAAAAGGAAATATCTTCAAATAAAAACTAGACAGAAGCCGTCTCAGAAACTTGTTTGTGATGTGTGTATTCAACTAACAGAGTTCAACATTTCTGTTACAGAGCAATTTTAAAACACTCTTTCTGTGAAATCTGAAAGTGGATAATTGGATAGCTTTGTGGATTTCGTTGGAAACGGGATGACGTATAAAATCTAGAGAGAAGCATTCTCAGGAACTTCTTTCTGATGTTTGCATTCAAGTCACAGAATTGAACATTCCTTTTCATAGTGCAGGTTTGAAACGCTCTTTCTGTAGTATCTGGAAGTGGACATTTCAAGCGCTTTCAGGCCTATGGGGAGAAAGGAAATATCTTCAAATAAAAACTAGACAGAAGGATTCTCAGAAACTTATTGGTGATGTGTGTCCTAAACGAACACAGTTGAACCTTTGTTTTGATACAGCCTTTTGGAAACACTCCTTTTGTAGAATCTGCAGGTGGATATTTGGATAGATTTTAAGATTTCGTTGGAAACGGGAATTTCTTCATAGAAACTCAAGACAGATGCATTCTCAGAAACTTCTCTGTGATGTTTGCATTCCACTCATAGAGTTGAAAACTTCCTTTCATAGAGCAGGTTTGAAACACTCTTTTTGTAATATTTGGAAGTGGAAATTTGCAGCGCTTTGAGGCCTATGGTGAAAAAGGAAATATCTTCTCATAAAAACCAGAAACAACCATTCTCAGAAACTTCTTTTTGATGTGTGTACTCAAGTAACAGAGTTGAACCTTCCTTTTGACACAGCAGTTTTGAAACAATCTTTTTGTAGAATCTGCAAGTGGATATTTGGATAGCTTTGAGGATTTCGTTGGAAACGGGATATCTTCATATAAAATCTAGACAGAAGCATTCTCAGAAACTTCTTTGTGCTGTATGTCCTCAATTAACAGAGTTGAACCATTGCTTGGATACAGCATTTTGGAAACATTCCTTTAGTAGAATCTGCAAGTTGATATTTAGATAGATTTGAAGATTTCGTTGGAAACGGGAATATCTTCATATAAAATCTAGACGGAGGCATTCTCAGAAACTGCTTTGTGATGTTTCCATTCAAGTCACAGAGTTGAATATTCTCTTTTATAGAGCACGTTTGAAACACTCTTTCTGCACTATCTGGAAGTGGACATTTCAAGCGCTGTGAGGCCTATGGTGAAAAAGGAAATATCTTCCCATAAAAACTAGACAGAATCATTCTCAGAAACTTGTTTGTGATGTGTGTATTCAACTAACAGACTTGAACTTTTGTTTTTACAGAGCAGTTTTAAGACAATCTTTTTGTGGAATCAGAAAGTGGATATTCGGATGGCTTTGAGGACTTCGTTGGAAGCGGGATTACATATAAAATCTAGAGAGAAGCATTCTCAGGAACTTCTTTGTGATGTTTGCATTGAAGTCACAGAATTGAACATTCACTTTGATAGAGCAGGTTTGAAACACTCATTCTGTAGTATCTGGAAGCGGACAATTCAAGCGCTTTCAGGCCTATGGGGAGAAAGGAAATATCTTCAAATAAAAACTAGAGAGAAGCATCCTCAGAAACTTATTTGTGATGTGTGTCCTCAACTAACAGAGTTGAAACTTTGTTTTGATACAGCATTTTGGAAACACTCTTTTTGTAGAATCTGCAGGTGGATGTTGGGATAGCTTAGAGGGATTCGTTTGAAAGGGGATATCTTCATATAAAATCTAGACAGAAGCATTCTCAGAAACTTATTTGTGATGTGTGTCCTCAACTAACAGAGTGGAACCTTGGTTTTGATACAGCATTTTGGAAACACTCCTTTTGTAGAATCTGCAGGTGGATATGTGGATAGCTTTGAAGATTTCGTTGGAAACGGGAATTTCTTCATATAAAATCAAACAGAAGCATTCTCAGAAACTTCTCTGTGATGTTTGCATTCAGCTCATGGAGTTGAACACTTCCTTTCATAGAGCAGGTTTGAAAAACTCTTTCTGCACTACCAGGAAGTGGACATTTCGAGCGCTTTGAGGCTTATGGTGAAAAAGGAAATATCTTCTCATAAAAACCAGAAAGAAGCGTTCTCAGAAACTTCTTTGTGTTGTGTGTACTCATGTAACAGTGTTGAACCATCCTTTTGACAGAGCAGTTTTGAAACAATCTTTTTGTAGAATCTGCAAGTGGATATTTGGATAGCTTTGAGGATTTCGTTGGAAATGGGATATCTTCATATAAAATCTAGACAGAAGCATTCTCAGAAACTTCTTAGTGCTGTATGTCCTCAATTAACAGAGTTGAACCATTGCTTGGATACAGCATTTTGGAAACATTCCTTTAGTAGAATCTGCAAGTTGATATTTAGATAGCTTTGAAGATTTCGTTGGAAACGGGAATATCTTCATAAAAAATCTAGACGGAAGCATTGTCAGAAACTGCTTTGTGATGTTTGCATTCAAGTCACAGAGTTAAATATTCTTTTACAGAGCAGGTTTGAAACACTCTTTCTGCACTCCCTGGAAGTGGAGATTTCGAGTGCTTTGAGGCCTATGGTGAAAAAGGAAATATCTTCCCATAAAAACTAGACGGAAGCCTTCTCAGAAACTTGTTTGAGATGTGTGTATTCAACTAAGAGCGTTGAACATTTCTTTCTACAGAGCAGTTTTAAAACACTCTTTTTGTGGAATCTGAAAGTGGATAATTGGATAGCTTTGTGGATTTCGTTGGAAACGGGATTACGTATAAAATCTAGAGAGAAGCATTCTCAGGAACTTCTTTCTGATGTTTCCATTCAAGTCACAGAATTGAACATTCCTTTTCATAGTGCAGGTTTGAAACACTCTTTCTGTAGTATCTGGAAGTGGACATTTCAAGCACTTTCAGGCCTATGGGGAGAAAGGAAATATCTTCAAATAAAAACTAGACAGAAGGATTCTCAGAAACTTATTTGTGATGTGTGTCCTAAGCGAACACAGTTGAACCTTTGTTTTGATACAGCATTTTGGAAACACTCCTTTTGTAGAATCTGCAGGTGGATATTTGGATAGATTTTAAGATTTCATTGGAAACGGGAATTTCTGCATAGAAACTCAAGACAGATGCATTCTCAGAAACTTCTCTGTGATGTTTGCATTCCACTCATAGAGTTGAAAACTTCCTTTCATAGAGCAGGTTTGAAACACTCTTTTTGTAATATTTGGAAGTGGACCTTTGCAGCGCTTTGAGGCCTATGGTGAAAAAGGAAATATCTTCTCATAAAAACCAGAAACAAGCATTCTCAGAAACTTCTTTTTGATGTGTGTACTCAAGTAACAGAGTTGAACCTTCCTTTTGACACAGCAGTTTTGAAACAATCTTTTTGTAGAATCTGCAAGTGGATATTTGGATAGCTTTGAGGATTTCGTTGGAAACGGGATATCTTCATATAAAATCTAGACAGAAGCATTCTCAGAAACTTCTTTGTGCTGTATGACCTCAATTTACAGAGTTGAACCATTGCTTGCATACAGCATTTTGGAAACATTCCTTGAGTAGAATCTGCAAGTTGATATTTAGATAGATTTGAAGATTTCGTTCGAAAACGGAATATCTCCATATAAAATCTAGAGGGAAGCATTCTCAGAAACTGCTTTGTGATGTTTCCATTCAAGTCACAGAGTTGAATATTCCCTTTTATAGAGCACGTTTGAAACACTCTTTCTGCACTATCTGGAAGCGGACATTTCGAGCGCTTTGAGGCCTATGGTGAAAAAGGAAATATCTTCCCATAAAAACTAGACAGAAGCATTCTCAGAAACTTGTTTGTGATGTGTGTATTCAACTAACAGAGTTGAACTTTTGTTTTTACAGAGCCGTTTTAAAACACTCTTTTTGTGGAATCAGAAAGTGGATATTCGGATGGCTCTGAGGATTTCGTTGGAAGCGGGATTACATATAAAATCTAGAGAGAAGCATTCTCAGGAACTTCTTTGTGATGTTTGCATTGAAGTCACAGAATTGAACATTCACTTTGATAGAGCAGGTTTGAAACACTCATTCTGTAGTATCTGGAAGTGTACATTTCAAGCGCTTTCAGGCCTATGGTGAGAAAGGAAATATCTTCGAATAAAAACTAGACAGAAGCATCCTCAAACTTATTTGTGATGTGTGTCCTCAACTAACAGAGTTGAAACTTTGTTTTGATACAGCATTTTGGAAACACTCTTTTTGTAGAATCTGCAGGTGGATATTTGGATAGCTTAGAGGGATTCGTTGGAAAGGGGATATCTTCATATAGAATCTAGACAGAAGCATTCTCAGAAACTTATTTGTGATGTGTGTCCTCAACTAACAGAGTTGAACTTTGGTTTTGATACAGCATTTTGGAAACACTCCTTTTGTAGAATCTGCAGGTGGATATGTGGATAGCTCTGAAGATTTCGTTGGAAACGGGAATTTCTTCATAGAAAATCAAACAGAAGCATTCTCAGAAACTTCTCAGTGATGTTTGCATTCAGTTCATGGAGTTGAACACTTCCTTTCATAGAGCCGGTTTGAAACACTCTTTCTGCACTACCTGGAAGAGGACATTTCGAGCGCTTTGAGTCCTATGGTGAAAAAGGAAATATCTTCTCATAGAAACCAGAAAGAAGCATTCTCAGAAACTTCTTTGTGTTGTGTGTACTCATGTAACAGTGTTGAACCATCCTTTTGACAGAGCAGTTTTGAAACACTCTTTTTGTAGAATCTGCAAGTGGATATTTGGATAGCTTTGATGATTTCGTTGGAAACGGGATGACATATAATATCTAGAGAGAAGCATTCTCAGGAACTTCTTTGTGATGTTTGCATTCAAGTCACAGAATTGAACATTCCCTTTCATAGAGCAGGTTTGAAACACTCTTTCTCTAGTATCTGGAAGTGGGCATTTCAAGCGCTTTCAGGCCTATGGAGAGAAAGGAAATACCTTCAAATAAAAACTAGACAGAAGCATTCTCAGAAACTTATTTGTGATGTGTGTCCTCAACTAACAGAGTTGAACCTTTGTTTTGATACAGCATTTTGGAAACACTCCTTTTGTAGAATCTGCAGGTGGATATTTGGATAGCTTTGAAGATTTCGTTGGAAACCGGAATATCTTCCTATAAAATCAAGACAGAAGCATTCTCGGAAACATCTCTGTGATGTTTGCATTCAACTCAGTAGAGTTGAACACTTCCTTTCCTAGAGCAGGTTTGAAACACTCTTTCTGCCCTACCTGGAAGCGGACATTTCGAGCTCTTTGAGGCCTATGGTGAAAAAGGAAATATCTTCTCATAAAAACCAGAAAGAAGCATTCTCAGAAACTTCTTTGTGTTGTGTGTACTCAAGTAACAGTGTTGAACCTTCCTTTTGACAGAGCAGTTTTGAAACACTCTTTTGGTAGAATCTGCAAGTGGATATTTGGATAGCTTTGAGGATTTCGTTGGAAACGGGTTATCTTCATATAAAATCCAGACAGGAGCATTCTCAGAAACTTCTTTGTGCTGTATGTCCTCAATTCACAGAGCTGAACCTTTGTTTGGATACAGCATTTTGGAGACATTCCTTTAGTAGAATCTGCAAGTTGATATTTAGATAGCTTTGAAGATTTCGTTGGAAACGGGAATATCTTCATAGAAAATCTAGACGGAAGCATTCTCAGAAACTGCTTTGTGATGTTTGCATTCAAGTCACAGAGTTGAATATTCCCTTTTATAGAGTAGGTTTGAAACACTCTTTCGGCACTACCTGGAAGTGGATATTTCGAGCTCTTTGAGGCCTATGGTTAAAAGGAAATATCTTCCCATAAAAACTAGACAGAAGCCTTCTCAGAAACTTGTTTGAGATGTGTGTATTCAACTAAGAGCGTTGAACATTTCTTTTTACAGAGCAGTTTTAAAACACTCTTTTGGTGGAATCTGAAAGTGGAAAATTGGATAGCTTTGTGGATTTCGTTGGAAACGGGATGACGTAAAAAATCTAGAGAGAAGCATTCTCAGGAACTTCTTTCTGATGTTTGCATTCAAGTCACAGAATTGAACATTCCTTTTCATAGTGCAGGTTTGAAACACTATGTAGTATCTGGAAGTGGACATTTCAAGCGCTTTCAAGCCTATGGGGAGAAAGGAAATATCTTGAAATAAAAACTAGACAGAAGGATTCTCAGAAACTTATTTGTGATGTGTGTCCTAAACGAACACAGTTGAACCTTTGTTTTGATACAGCATTTTGGAAACACTCCTTTTGTAGAATCTGCAGGTGGATATTTGGGTAGATTTTAAGATTTCATTGGAAACGGGAATTTCTTCATATAAACTGAAGACAGATGCATTCTCAGAAACTTCTCTGTGATGTTTGCATTCCACTCACAGAGTTGGAAACTTCCTTTCATAGAGCAGGTTTGAAACACTCTTTTTGTAATATTTGGAAGTGGACATTTGCAGCGCTTTGAGGCCTATGGTGAAAAAGGAAATATCTTCTCATAAAAACCAGAAACAAGCATTCTCAGAAACTGCTTTTTGATGTGTGTACTCAAGTAACAGAGTTGAACCTTCCTTTTCACACAGCAGTTTTGAAACAATCTTTTTGTAGAATCTGCAAGTGGATATTTGGATAGCTTTGAGGATTTCGTTGGAAACGGGATATCTTCATATAAAATCTAGACAGAAGCATTCTCAGAAACTTCTTTGTGCTGTATGTCCTCAATTAACAGAGTTGAACCATTGCTTGGATACAGCATTTTGGAAACATTCCTTTAGTAGAATCTGCAAGTTGATATTTAGATAGCTTTGAAGATTTCGTTGGAAACGGGAATATCTTCATATAAAATCTAGACGGAAGCATTCTCAGTAAACTGCTTTGTGATGTTTCCATTCAAGTCACAGAGTTGAATATTCTCTTTTATAGAGCACGTTTGAAACACTCTTTCTGCACTATCTGGAAGTGGACATTTCGAGCGCTTTGAGGCCTATGGTGAAAAAGGAAATATCTTCCCATAAACACTAGACAGAAGCATTCTCAGAAACTTGTTTGTGATGTGTGTATTCAACTAACAGACTTGAACTTTTGTTTTTACAGAGCAGTTTTAAAACAATCTTTTTGTGGAATCAGAAAGTGGATTTTCGGATGGCTTTGAGGATTTCGTTGGAAGCGGGATTACATATAAAATCTAGAGAGAAGCATTCTCAGGAACTACTTTGTGATGTTTGCATTGAAGTCACAGAATTGAACATTCACTTTGATAGAGCAGGTTTGAAACACTCATTCTGTAGTATCTGGAAGTGGACATTTCAAGCGCTTTCAGGCCTATGGTGAGAAAGGAAATATCTTCAAATAAAAACTAGACAGAAGCATCCTCAGAAACTTATTTGTGATGTGTGTCCTCAACTAACAGAGTGGAAACTTTGTTTTGATACAGCATTTTGGAAACACTCCTTTTGTAGAATCTGCAGGTGGATATTTGGATAGCTTAGAGGGATTCGTTGGAAAGGGGATATCTTCATATAAAATCTAGACAGAAGCATTCTCAGAAACTTATTTGTGATGTGTGTCCTCAACTAACAGAGTGGAACCTTGGTTTTGATACAGCATTTTGGAAACACTCCTTTTGTAGAATCTGCAGGTGGATATGTGGATAGCTTTGAAGATTTCGTTGGAAACGGGAATTTCTTCATATAAAATCAAACAGAAGCATTCTCAGAAACTTCTCTGTGATGTTTGCATTCAGCTCATGGAGTTGAACACTTCCTTTCATAGAGCAGCTTTGAAACACTCTTTCTGCACTACCAGGAAGTGGACATTTCGAGCGCTTTGAGGCCTATGGTGAAAAAGGAAATATCTTCTCATAAAAACCAGAAAGAAGCGTTCTCAGAAACTTCTTTGTGTTGTGTGTACTCATGTAACAGTGTTGAACCATCCTTTTGACAGAGCAGTTTTGAAACACTCTTTTTGTAGAATCTGCAAGTGTATAATTGGATAGCTTTGAGGATTTCGTTGGAAACGGGTTATCTTCATATTAAATCTAGACAGAAGCATTCTCAGAAACTTCTTTGTGCTGTATGTCCTCAATTCACAGAGTTGAACCTTTGTTTGGATACAGCATTTTGGAAACATTCCTTTAGTAGAATCTGCAAGTTGATATTTAGACAGCTTTGAAGATTTCGTTGGAAACGGGAATATCTTCATAAAAAATCTAGACGGAAGCATTGCCAGAAACTGCTTTGTGATTTTTAAATTCAAGTCACAGAGTTAAATATTCTTTTACAGAGCAGGTTTGAAACACTCTTTCTGCACTCCCTGGAAGTGGAGATTTCGAGCGCTTTGAGGCCTATGGTGAAAAAGGAAATATCTTCCCATAAAAACTAGACGGAAGCCTTCTCAGAAACTTGTTTGAGATGTGTGTATTCAACTAAGAGCGTTGAACATTTCTTTTTACAGAGCAGTTTTAAAACACTCTTTTTGTGGAATCTGAAAGTGGATAATTGGATAGCTTTGTGGATTTCGTTGGAAACGGGATGACGTATAAAATCTAGAGAGAAGCATTCTCAGGAACTTCTTTCTGATGTTTGCATTCAAGTCACAGAATTGAACATTCCTTTTCATAGTGCAGGTTTGAAACAATCTTTCTGTAGTATCTGGAAGTGGACATTTCAAGCGCTTTCAGGCCTATGGGGAGAAAGGAAATATCTTCAAATAAAAACTAGACAGAAGGATTCTCAGAAACTTATTGGTGATGTGTGTCCTAAACGAACACAGTTGAACCTTTGTTTTGATACAGCATTTTGGAAACACTCCCTTTGTAGAATCTGCAGGTGGATATTTGGATAGATTTTAAGATTTCGTTGGAAACGGGAATTTCTTCATTTAAACTCAAGACAGATGCATTCTCCGAAACTTCTCTGTGATGTTTGCATTCCACTCATAGAGTTGAAAACTTCCTTTCATAGAGCAGGTTTGAAACACTCTTTTTGTAATATTTGGAAGTGGACATTTGCAGCGCTTTGAGGCCTATGGTGAAAAAGGAAATATCTTCTCATAAAAACCAGAAACAATGATTCTCAGAAACTTCATTGTGATGTGTGTACTCGAGTAACAGAGTTGAACCTTCCTTTTGACACAGCAGTTTTGAAACAATCTTTTTGTAGAATCTGCAAGTGGATATTTGGATAGATTTGAGGATTTCGTTGGAAACGGGATATCTTCATATAAAATCTAGACAGAAGCATTCTCAGAAACTTCTTTGTGCTGTATGTCCTCAATTAACAGAGTTGAACCATTGCTTGGATACAGCGTTTTGGAAACATTCCTTTAGTAGAATCTGCAAGTTGATATTTAGATAGATTTGAAGATTTCGTTGGAAACGGGAATATCTTCATATAAAATCTAGACGGAGGCATTCTCAGAAACTGCTTTGTGATGTTTCCATTCAAGTCACAGAGTTGAATATTCTCTTTTATAGAGCAAGTTTGAAACACTCTTTCTGCACTATCTGGAAGTGGACATTTCGAGCGCTTTGAGGCCTATGGTGAAAAAGGAAATATCTTCTCATAAAAACTAGACAGAAGCATTCTCAGAAACTTGTTTGTGATGTGTGTATTCAACTAACAGACTTGAACTTTTGTTTTTACAGAGCAGTTTTAAAACAATCTTTTTGTGGAATCAGAAAGTGGATATTCGGATGGCTTTGAGGATTTCGTTGGAAGCGGGATTACATATAAAATCTAGAGAGAAGCATTCTCAGGAACTACTTTGTGATGTTTGCATTGAAGTCACAGAATTGAACATTCACTTTGATAGAGCAGGTTTGAAACACTCATTCTGTAGTATCTGGAAGTGGACATTTCAAGCGCTTTCAGGCCTATGGTGAGAAAGGAAATATCTTCAAATTAAAACTAGACAGAAGCATCCTCAGAAACTTATTTGTGATGTGTGTCCTCAACTAACAGAGTTGAAACTTTGTTTTGATACAGCATTTTGGAAACACTCTTTTTGTAGAATCTGCAGGTGGATATTTGGATAGCTTAGAGGGATTCGTTGGAAAGGGGATATCTTCATATAAAATCTAGACAGAAGCATTCTCAGAAACTTATTTGTGATGTGTGTCCTCAACTAACAGAGTTGAACCTTGGTTTTGATACAGCATTTTGGAAACACTCCTTTTGTAGAATCTGCAGGTGGATATGTGGATAGCTCTGAAGATTTCGTTGGAAACGGGTATTTCTTCATATAAAATCAAACAGAAGCATTCTCAGAAACTTCTCAGTGATGTTTGCATTCAGCTCATGGAGTTGTACACTTCCTTTCATAGAGCAGGTTTGAAACACTCTTTCTGCACTACCTGGAAGAGGACATTTCGAGCGCTTTGAGTCCTATGGTGAAAAAGGAAATATCTTCTCATAGAAACCAGAAAGAAGCATTCTCAGAAACTTCTTTGTGTTGTGTGTACTCATGTAACAGTGTTGAACCATCCTTTTGACAGAGGAGTTTTGAAACACTCTTTTTGTAGAATCTGCAAGTGGATATTTGGATAGCTTTGAGGATTTCGTTGGAAACGGGATGACATATAATATCTAGAGAGAAGCATTCTCAGGAACTTCTTTGTGATGTTTGCATTCAAGTCACAGAATTGAACATTCCCTTTCATAGAGCAGGTTTGAAACACTCTTTCTCTAGTATCTGGAAGTGGGCATTTCAAGCGCTTTCAGGCCTATGGAGAGAAAGGAAATACCTTCAAATAAAAACTAGACAGAAGCATTCTCAGAAACTTATTTGTGATGTGTGTCCTCAACTAACAGAGTTGAACCTTTGTTTTCATACAGCATTTTGGAAACACTCCTTTTGTAGAATCTGCAGGTGGATATTTGGATAGCTTTGAAGATTTCGTTGGAAACCGGAATATCTTCATATAAAATCAAGACAGAAGCATTCTCGGAAACATCTCTGTGATGTTTGCATTCAACTCAGTAGAGTTGAACACTTCCTTTCATAGAGCAGGTTTGAAACACTCTTTCTGCACTACCTGGAAGTGGACATTTCGAGCGCTTTGAGGCCTATGGTGAAAAAGGAAATATCTTCTCATAAAAACCAGAAAGAAGCATTCTCAGAAACTTCTTTGTGTTGTGTGTACTCAAGTAACAGTGTTGAACCTTCCTTTTGACAGAGCAGTTTTGAAACACTCTTTTGGTAGAATCTGCAAGTGGATATTTGGATAGCTTTGAGGATTTCGTTGGAAACGGGTTATCTTCATATAAAATCCAGACAGGAGCATTCTCAGAAACTTCTTTGTGCTGTATGTCCTCAATTCACAGAGCTGAACCTTTGTTTGGATACAGCATTTTGGAGACATTCCTTTAGTAGAATCTGCAAGTTGATATTTAGATAGCTTTGAAGATTTCGTTGGAAACGGGAATATCTTCATAGAAAATCTAGACGGAAGCATTCTCAGAAACTGCTTTGTGATGTTTGCATTCAAGTCACAGAGTTGAATATTCCCTTTTATAGAGTAGGTTTGAAACACTCTTTCGGCACTACCTGGAAGTGGATATTTCGAGCTCTTTGAGGCCTATGGTTAAAAGGAAATATCTTCCCATAAAAACTAGACAGAAGCCGTCTCAGAAACTTGTTTGTGATGTGTGTATTCAACTACCAGAGTTGAACATTTCTGTTACAGAGCAATTTTAAAACACTCTTTCTGTGGAATCTGAAAGTGGATAATTGGATAGCTTTGTGGATTTCGTTGGAAACGGGATGACGTATAAAATCTAGAGAGAAGCATTCTCAGGAACTTCTTTCTGATGTTTGCATTCAAGTCACAGTAATTGAACATTCCTTTTCAGAGTGCAGGTTTGAAACACTCTTTCTGTAGTATCTGGAAGTGGACATTTCAAGCGCTTTCAGGCCTACGGGGAGAAAGGAAATATCTTCAAATAAAAACTAGACAGAAGGATTCTCAGAAACTTATTGGTGATGTGTGTCCTAAACGAACACAGTTGAACCTTTGTTTTGATACAGCATTTTGGAAACACTCCCTTTGTAGAATCTGCAGGTGGATATTTGGATAGATTTTAAGATTTCGTTGGAAACGGGAATTTCTTCATATAAACTCAAGACAGATGCATTCTCCGAAACTTCTCTGTTATGTTTGCATTCCACTCATAGAGTTGAAAACTTCCTTTCATAGAGCAGGTTTGAAACACTCTTTTTGTAATATTTGGAAGTGGACATTTGCAGCGCTTTGAGGCCTATGGTGAAAAAGGAAATATCTTCTCATAAAAACCAGTAAAGCAAGCATTCTCAGAAACTTCTTTTTGATGTGTGTACTCGAGTAACAGAGTTGAACCTTCCTTTTGACACAGCAGTTTTGAAACAATCTTTTTGTAGAATCTGCAAGTGGATATTTGGATAGCTTTGAGGATTTCGTTGGAAACGGGATATCTTCATATAAAATCTAGACAGAAGCATTCTCAGAAACTTCTTTGTGCTGTATGTCCTCAATTAACAGAGTTGAACCATTGCTTGGATACAGCATTTTGGAAACATTCCTTTAGTAGAATCTGCAAGTTGATATTTAGATAGATTTGAAGATTTCGTTGGAAACGGGAATATCTTCATATAAAATCTAGACGGAGGCATTCTCAGAAACTGCTTTGTGATGTTTCCATTCAAGTCACAGAGTTGAATATTCTCTTTTATAGAGCACGTTTGAAACACTCTTTCTGCACTATCTGGAAGTGGACATTTCGAGCGCTGTGAGGCTTATGGTGAAAAAGGAAATATCTTCCCATAAAAACTAGACAGAAGCATTCTCAGAAACTTGTTTGTGATGTGTGTATTCAACTAACAGACTTGAACTTTTGTTTTTACAGAGCAGTTTTAAAACAATCTTTTTGTGGAATCAGAAAGTGGATATTCGGATGGCTTTGAGGATTTCGTTGGAAGCGGGATTACATATAAAATCTAGAGAGA